>NW_003315922.2:0-119183 GCF_000001405.40 Homo sapiens | reverse complement strand
ATTTGAGCCCAGCAGTTTGAGACCAGCCTGGGCAACATGGTGAAACCTCATCTCTACAAAAAAATTGACAAATTAGCCAGGCATGATGGTGTACACCTGTTGTCCCAGCTACTTGGGAGAAGGCTGAGGTGGGAAGATCACCTGAGCCTGGGGAGGTAGAGGCTGCAGTAAGCTGTGATCACACCATTGCACTCCAGCCTGGTTGACAGAGGGAGACCCTGTCTCAAAACAAAAACAAAAAAAGAGAAAATTAAAAACTTCTTGGCTGGGCACAGTGGCTCATGCCTGTAATCTCACAACTTTGGGAGGCCGAGGTGGATGGATCACCTGAGGTCAGGAGTTCAAGACCAGCCTGACCAACATGGTGAAACCCCGCCTCTACGAAAATTACAAAAATTAGCCAGGTGGTGTGGCACGCACCTATAATCCTAGCTACTCAGGAGGCTGAGGCAGGAGAATCACTTGAATCCAGGAGACAGAGGTTGCAATGAGCCGAGATTGTGCCATTGCACTCCAGCCTGGGTGACAGAGTGAGATTCTGGCTCAAAAAAAATAAAATTAAAAAAATCTTAATTTCAAATAGAAATTTCACATACTAAGTACCAAAGAGGTTCCGAATAAATCTGCACACTCACATTAGTGTAATTCTTATCTTGGCATACGCTTCTTCCTGGTTAGGGCTAGATCCTTCCAAAAGACAATACATTCAGAGTTTTTGTAATTCTCAACAATAAGTACTGGGATGGATAATTCAGTTTTAGGCTTTATTCAAAAGTTACTTGTGACTAAAACTGTAAGTATAAAAATAATTTTTTAAAGGAAGGGATAAATGTACAAACTCTTAGCAAGTAGAGAAATAAGAGTTATGGACATCTTCTAGTGAGTTGCCTTAACTCATAAGTACTGGTACTCTTAACCCTAGTTAGTTACAGTGTAGCCAAGCTTTTAAAAAAGAAAAGGAGAAAAAGAAAAAAACAGCTATTTTCACAAGCTTCTTACCAGCTATGATTGTTGTTGCTTGTCGCCTCACATTATTTTTATCCATGTATTCACCATAGTCTATTTTCCCTTCCAAATAAATTCGAGACCTGATATAAATAAAATGTACAGTTTTTAGTTGAGATCTTAATATGCTTTATAAGAGTCAGGTCAGGGTGGTACTGAGTATATGACAAGGATGAAATATATAATCATATATAAGCTAATTTTTGCTACCACTTCTCAAGGTTCAGGATTAGGAGTACTGAAACAGAGTGTCCAAACAGACTTGGTAACATCTAGGTAAAACAGACAATGTTTTCATCTGTCAGCTATTTCTCTTACGGAAGTTAAAAAATAAAACAAAACAGTTCAAAGGGAAATTTAGTGGCAACATTTAAATCTCTAGGAATAATTTCCAATGTATCATTTTCCTTGACCTTTGATTTTGGAGTCCCTAACAGACTTGATTTTCACTTATTTATCAATTATTTTCTATGACCTTAGAAACTTAGATGATTAAAATTCAAAATATGGATTTGTAGTTAGTTTAGTATAATATTACCCTGAGTTAATTACTAAGACTATTTCTACACTGTATCAGCTTAGTATACCACTTAGAGGTAATTACTAAGACTATTTCTACACTATCTAGAGGCTAAACTAGATAACAAACCTAATCGTGATTTTCAAGAGTGGAAAGATGACAATAGTACCAGTTTTGAGAGTCTACCACCACCAAAAAAGTACAACACAGAAAGATTAGTGAAACATCAGGTGCTCCCCACCCCACACACACACCCATCAATCAGTAAGTGGGAGTGCAGACACTTCCCTTGAAATACCTTATATGTGTTTGTGTGTGTATGTGCACATATTCATAAACATACATAAAGGGCAATGAAGATACATAGGAAGAAAAGCTATACAGTTATTGAAAAGAAAAATTTTAGTGATTGCTAAATTATTTTTCATAAAATATGTTTTCTTTCTACAAAACAAGTACATTTCTAAACATATTAACTATCAATACAACTGCTGTTACACACACCGTTTTGTCCTTCTATGAGTTTGGAAAACATACTTTTTATACATACTCAATCCAAGCCTTCCAAAAGGGAACTATTAAGCCTACAGAAAATCATCAAATATAAAATAACTGCCACGAAGATGAAGTTGGCATGTCAGGCTTCAGACATTCCAGATCCTCTGCTGGAAATACCATGTGGCAGCCAACAGGCAAGAAGCCACCCTCAGCATCCCCGGCCACAGAGGCACAGGAATTCCTCAAAGCAGATGTTTGACTTGCTCAAATGCCACTTGATACACTTTGCCTTCTCTCCTGCCTCATCTATTTCTATTTATGTACACACCCTGTTTGCCCTAAACTGTAAGTTCTTAGAAAGCTAAAACTATGTTTTATATATCTTCAAATTAGTCACACATGGCAACATGCCATGCATATAGTATCAAGGACTTAGTAAATACCTCTTAAATTAATACAGTCATTAGTAGTACTCAGGGATTTAAGAGACTACACACTCCTTGCCATGAGAACACTTCTTATCGGTTCTTTAAATCATTCAATTCATAAGATCCTTCCCTCTTCAACTTACCCCTTTTTCACATATTGATATGCCACGTCTCTGAGGCCTGGCCGGAATACTGATATTCTGTGCCATGTTGTCTTTTGACTGACATCACCTAAATCATAAAAATAGGAAATTGGTTACAAATGCCAACAGACAACATGCCCAGGAAAACCAATGTCACGATTTCTAAGAGAACAAACAGAATGAAAGACAGATCTTGTTTAAAGTGGTTTATCTCTAAATTAGATAACTGGCAATAAATAATATCTATTTATTGCTGATAAAATTAAAACCCCAGTCTTTTGTACTCACCCAGTTGGTAAACTTCACTATCCCCTGATCGCCACATCTCATTAGTTGCTAGAGAAAATATTGTGACTGGATTTTTTCCTTCCACCTGTCTCAAGACAGGGTCCTGACCCACTCGCCCAAGTAAGTGCACACGATTCAGGGCTGAAACACAACATCAAGACCAAATGAGACAACCTGCTATAGACTGAATAGTTGTGCCCCTTCCCCCAAAATTTGTATGTTGAAGCTCTAACCCTCAATGTAATGGTATTTGGAAGTGGGATCCTTAAAAGGTAATTAGGCTTAGATGACGTCATGAGGGTGAGGTGTCCCTATAGGAACAGGAAGAGTTCAGAACTTTCTGTCTCTACCATATGAAGACACGGTGAGAAGGCAACCATCTGCAAGCCAGGAAGACAGCCCTCGCCAAGAGCTCAATCATACTGGCACACGAATCTTGGATTTTTAGCCTCTAGAACTGTGAGAAATAAATGCTGTTGGTGAAGCCACCTGGTCTATGGTATTTTTTTATAGCAGCCTCTAAGCTGACCATTAAAGAAATCCACACCTGGCTGGGCGCGGTGGCTCACGCCTGTAATCCCAGCACTTTGGGAGGCCAAGGCGGGCGGATCACAAGGTCAGGAGAGAGAGACCATGCTGGCTAACACGGTGAAACCCCATCTCTACTAAAATACAAAAAATTAGCTGGGCGTGGTGGCGGGCGCCTGTAGTCCCAGCTACTTGGAAGGCTGAGGCAGGAGAATGGCATGAACCCGGGAGGCAGAGTTTGCAGTGAGCGGAGACCGCGCCACTGCACTCCAGCCTGGGCGACAGAGCAAGACTCAGTCTCAAAAAAAAAGAAATCCACACTCAAGACTGAGAGAAATGTCCAGAAGAAATGCTATAAATATGACTTCAACTTCAATCTCTGCATTAAGTAAAACCCAAGTTCTGGAAGATCAGAAAATAAGTTAAGGAATGAATAAGGAGAGGTTGCGAGAGAAGAGAGTTGGCAAGAAAGAAGAAAATAGTCATAGAGAAAGCAGCCCCACAAAACAAACTGTAAGCTCTAGATCTTAAATTCTTTAAGATATCTTTTTTAACTGACTGTGGAGCTAAAAGAACAAATCTGAGATCTGAAAATCTTTATAAACACAAGGGAATATTTCTGTGAAGAAACAATATCTTTTACAATCTCAGCCTAATACAACATAACCCGGGAAGACTCAGATAACCAAATATGACTCAAGGAAATTCTTATGCAGGACAGTGTTGACAAGAATGAGTAGTAACTGGCTGATAAGGAGAACAGGGGCTCAGTTTATACTATGTCTCCACAGCCTGATGTGTCAAGGCTAAGATCTGAAGAGCAAACATGAGCTAAAAGCACAATGGCAACATGGTTAACCCAAGCAGCATACCTCTTCTACAACACATTTGAGATTGGCAAATTACTAAAAATAACATTTTAAACTTGGAAATTAGCTACTTACATCTTTCAAGAACCAAACTGGTAGTTGTTTCGGACTCATGTCTTACAAACTGACGAAGTACCTAAAGAAGAACAAATGAATAACATGGCTTTAATTTTTTAGGAAAGGCAAATGCAAACAGAAGAATTACTCACGTTCATTCACCATATAGTCAGTAGTTCCTGAAAATTCCAGAAGAGAAGAGAAGCTCTTCTCATGTTCTCCCAACAGAGTGCCAGAAGGCCCCGGCAAACACTTCAAGAGCAGCCTAATGCAGAAGCCCAAAGGTAGAAGGAAGGTACTAGAAGGCATGCTCAAAGTTAAGTTATAGTACTCCCATTTATTTTGCGACATCTCCTTGATTATGGCACTTCTGTGTTTGCACACAAAAGGAAAAATCAAAATAGTATCACTTTAACATTACAGAGTATGATAATATTTGTAAATCCAACCTGTACCTAAGAGTTGCTGCCAAGTATTTTCAAAATCCAGCTTTCATTAGCTGGAAAGACAAAAAGAGACAAAAAGTACTACATATATTCAATATATACATCCTCTAATTTTTTTTTTTAGTATAAACAACTGGTATATTACTACTGTATTTTGGTTACAGTAGACTTTAGAAATTAAGAAATTTAGATCCAACATGGGTACTGATTTAATCCATCATTAGACCAAAGGAGAGTTAAAAGAGATGCTTTATAATTAATAATTTAATAAGTAGATTCATTAATAACATATGCAATGATCAAACAAGTGTCAGGAGGTGTGGAATAAATGCAAAGCCTTACTCTCAGGCATAACGAACAGCCAGTTAGAGGAGAGTCCCCAACCTCCAGGGCTGAGGACTAGTAGAGTTCTGTGGCCTGTTAGGAACCTGGCTGCACAGCAGGAGGTGAGCAGCAAGCAGCGAGCAAGCATTACTGACCAAGATCCGCCTCCTGTCAGATCAGCAGTGGCATTAGATTCTCACAGGAGCAGAACCCCATTATAAACCGCTCATGCGAGGGATCTAGGGTGTGCACTCCTTATGAGAATCTAACTAATGCCTGATGATCTGAGGTGGAACAGTTTCATCTTGAAACCATCCCCACGGCACCCCCCTCCTCCATGGAAAAATTGTCTTCCATGAAACCAGTTATCAGTGCCAAAAAGGTTGGGGTCTGCTGGTTTAGAGAACGAGAGATAGGTTACATTCCAACAAAACAATACATTCTAAAACTAATCACATGAATGACTTTCTGACACAGCAACAGGAACATATTCCAAAGTCAGATTCCCTGTGTCTATGAAACTGCCTTCCCCTGGTTGCTCCTTCAGACCTTAAAAGGAATTAGGATACCTAATATGACTAATCTAAAGTGTTTCATTTTAAAATAAGCAAAAATTATGATACATAATACCTACTTCACAAGGCTATTGCAAAAATTAAACAGCTTCAGTAGTGAGCTTAGCCTAATACAGTTTTTATAAATATTTCATAGGAAATTTCCTGTTTTTAGTGCATCAAAAAAGGTCTAATAAATTTGGTTCTTTGATTAAACACAAAGACTCGACTGTCCAAGTCAAAGTCACATCACTGTCAGCAAAGGTAGTCACTACCACATAATAGCAGCAATCATTACTGAATATCAGCTAAGGGATTTATCTATTATCAATTCTAAAACTAAATCTACAAGTTATGTAAAATTATTCCCATTTAGGGCTGAGAAAACACCTCAGAGAGACTGCATCACCTGCCCAAGCTCCTGCAGGAAGTATGTGGCAAGTGATCTCAAGGACCCAGGGCCCTTGACACCAATGCTACTGCTTTCCCGAAGCCCTCTGCTGCCTCCTTAATTTCAAGAGCTCCTGTAAAGATGGGAGTACACATCACTGAATTCAGAGCTCAGAGAGCTAGCCATTCTATCAGAGAAACATTTTTGAAGTGGCAGTACTGTTAATATAAAAAGCAGAAGTCCACCAATCAAATAAACACCAATCCCCAGGGTGCTGTTGGCTATCTAATCCTATCACTAAACTTAGGAGCAGAGGGCAGATAAGAAAATAAAGATATGAGTACAACATACTATAGAATCAAACTGCTAATGAGAACCTGTGTCATGATTCTGGAAATGTCATTTGAGTGCTCAGACAAGCTAGACCTCATAAATCTTACACAGAGATTTATAATAACAATGTCTCATTTGGGGCACACAAAAATCTACTGGAGAAGATTAGGAAAGGATTATTTAACTTGGATAATTTTTTAAATTAAACTTTTAACTCTTATTTAAAGACATTTTAATACTGTAACGTTAGTGTTAAGAAGCAATAACTTTTTCATGTTTCACATTTCAATACAGAAAAAAATAGATTAAAGATACATACAGGTTAAAGTGGGGATCCAAGAATATAGGATTAAGGTGGGGAAAATGACAGAGTCATGGAGGAACTGGTTCTTCATTGGTCTTCACAGGAGGATGGGGAGTAGGAGAGCCAAAGAAGAATCTACAGGAGCTGGTGCCCGAATGTGGTAAGTGAGGAAAAATGGTAGTCTAAGCTGGCTCAAGGTGGGCTAGTGTCTGGAAAAGTGAGGACCCATACTAAGTGGAATGAGAAGGCATTTTCTACATAGTGAAATCTCTGGTGACCACTGAGACTTGAGATGCTCTCTTCAGTGTGGAAAGATGGGGGAAGAGGAACGTTTAGCAACACAGGAGGTAGATGGTCAAAAAAGCAACTACATGCCTTAAGAAAAAAGTTGGAACAATGATTCCTACAGTCTTTAGGTCACTAAAGACCTTTAATGTCCTCTCACTGGTTAAATTCAAGCAACACACACACATTTTAAAAATTAATGATTCCTATTACGTGTGAATAAACCTGAACTTTTTTTTTGTTTTAGTGAACATAATTTACACTGGCAAAATCGTCCCCAATCCTCCATATCAAATGAGTATAGAGGTGGGTGGGTGAGCTCAAAGGTCTTTTGCCCCTGTAGTTAAAAGCCTAAAGAAGTCTTCTGATCACTGTGGCTGATAGTAATACATCTCAGTATTAATACAGACAAGTGACTACCTGTAATACAGGTCTTCGAAACATGGCTTCTATTTTCTTTTCTTACAGTCTAATCTTTAGGCTTTTCCTGAAGGAAAAAAACAAAATAAGAAAAAAACATTACCTCTTATGGCAAAAGTACAACTCACCAGTCCTAAATTCCTAACTATATTCATAATTTTTATGCACTCCAATTTTGTGACCACAACGTACCAACATTCCTGCACATCTGATGAGGATTCCTTCCTCCCTCCCAAATAAACTCACACCTGTATGTCTTTTTGGTCCCAAATAACTTCCTCTTCCTCCAACCCATCGACAAAATTTTGATTCTGAGTTAATCCCACTTCCAATCCACTGTCTTCTCAAATTTCATTACTATGCAAGCTCCCTTAGAGCAGAGATTTGTATCTGCTTTATTCACTGCCATTTTCTAAACTTCTAAAAAAGTTCTTAATGCATAGTAAGGCCTCCATAAATATTAGCATCACCAAGGGACTTATATCTGAAACCTGTTACTGAAAAATTACTGCCTTCATCTCCGTTAACAAAGACCAAGCAGCGTAGAGACCCCCGGGCTAGCCAGCCACACCATAGGGAGAGGTGGACACCCTTTACCGAAGATGGCGCCACCACCTGAAAACCGAGGAGAACTGGAAGGAAATCACGCGGTCCTCCGCACGACTGATGAAAGGGCCAGACACCTACACAGAAACACCTCCCGACCCACGCAGGATCACGCGCAGCCAAAACACACGACTCCAGCACTTCCTTCGCGCTGGCTATCCCTTCCTCCCTCACCTGACGATCTAACCCGAGCAGCCCAGCCACGCAGGGGATCACTTCCGGCGCACAGGGAACGCAAAGCTCGCCAGAGGAAAAAGGAAACAGAAACTCCGCAACTTGCGCCTTGGAAATACTGCCGGCTAGCGCTGCGGGAAACGGCTCCCCTTAACTCTGAAGTTCCGCGATCTTCTCTTTGTGCGCGGGCGGATGGATCAACGCCGCCAAGTGGTGAGTTTGGAAGGTTTCAAGTTTAGAAGGTTTCAAGTTTAGAAGGTTTCAAGTTTGGAAAGAAATGAAATTATGTGATGAGGTTTCTAACTGGGCCCAGGAGGGGGCGAGGTAGGCAAAACAGAGACTAGCTCTGCCTGGAGGGAAAAAAAAGCAACATTTGTGACCAGCCTAGGCGACATAGTGAGACCTGTCTCTACAAAAAATATATAATTAGCTGGGCGTGGTGGCGCGCGCCTGTGGTCCAAGCTTCTCCGGAGGCTGAGGTCGGGGGATCGCCTGAGCCCTGGAGGTCGTTGCTGCATTGAGCCGTGAACGCACCACTGCATTCCAGCCTGGGCAACAGAGCGAACTCTATCTCAAAACAAAACAAAACAAAACAAGAAAAAGAAAAAAAGAAGAAAATTAAAAAAAAAAAGAAAGAAAAAGAACGTCCCAGGTCTGTTGAAGCACTAAGAAAAGCAGAAAAAGAAAGGGGAGCCAGGGAAGGGCTGGCAGGCTGTGCAATTTAAGGGAGCACCAGAAAAACTGGCAATCAAATAATATATTAATGTAATATTTTAAAAAGTAAAAATTAATGCAGGAAATCCGGGAGGAACAAAATAAGAGTCATGTGTACCTTAACAACAGGGTAAGGTCTGAGGATTGCGTCATTAGGCGATTTTGTTGCTGTACGAACACCACAGAATGTACTTTGACGACCTAGATGGTGGAGCCTGGACACACCTCGGCTCTGTGGTGTGGCCTGCTGCTTCCAGGCTGCAAACCTGACAGCATGGGGCTGTACTGAATACCGCAGACCATTGTAATTCATGGTAAGTATCTGTGTGTCTAAACATATGTAAACATGGAAAAGGTACAGTACAAATGCGGTATAAAAGATAAAAATGGCACACCTGTATGGGGCGCTTACCATGAATGGAGCTTGCGGAACTGGAAGTTGCTGTGGGTGAGTAAATGAGTGAGTGGTGGCCCAACATGAAGGTCTAGGACATTATTGTACCCACTAAACACTTCATAAACACTGTACACTTAGGCTACACTCAGTTTATAAAAAATACTTTTCTTCCTTTAATAAACTTTCACTCACTATAACTTTATAAATCTTCCAAATTTTTTTACGTTTTAACTGTTTTGTAATAACAATTAGCTTAAAACACACACTGTACCACTGTACAAAAATATTTTTCTTATATCCTTATTCTACAAGCTTTTTTCTACCTTTGCTTTTTTTCTTTTTTTTTTTAACTTTTTAGCCATTTTTTAAAAAAACTAAGACATAAACACACACATTAGCCTAGGCCTACACAGGGTCATTATGATCAATCTCAGCCTTCCACTTCCACATCTTGTCCCACTGGAAGGTTTTCAGAAGCAGTGACACACAGGGAGCTGTCATCTCCTATAACAGTGTCTTCTTCTGGAATCCCTCCTGAAGGACCTGCCTGAGGCTGTTTTACAGTTAACTTTTAAAAAATAAGTTAAATAATAATATAATAAAAAGTATAGTAAATACATAAACCAGTGACATAGTCATTATTAATATCAAGTAACACATGAGTAATACATTGCATTCTGATGTTTTAGCAGGTATGATGTCACTAGACGATAGGAATTTTTCAACTCCATTGTAATCTTATGGGACCACCTTTGTATATGCACTGTTGTATATGCAGTCTTTTTCCAAAACATCATTATGAAGTGCATGACTGTATTAAAATTTTAACTGAATACAGGATCCAAGCCAGACTGGAGCCTGAGGCACAAGGAAGAATATGCACCCCTGTGTATATGTGTACTTATGTATTTTTAAAAATTGGGGCTAGGAAGGTTAGTGGGGGGCTGGAGGGAAGGTGGGGATGGTTAATGGGTACAAAAAAATAGAACGAATAAGACCTACTATTTTCGATGGCACAATAGGTTGACTATAGTCAATAATTACTTAACTGTACATTTTAAAATAAGAGTGTTATTGGATTGTGTGTAACTCAAAGGATAAATTAAGATGATACCCCATCCCCCATGATGTGCTTATTTGACGTTGCATACCTGTATCAAAATATCTCATGTACTCCATAAATATATACACTTCCTTTGAACCCACAAAAATTAAAAATAAAGACAAAAACAAAAAAAAATGTTTAATTAAAAAAATTTTGGCCAGGTCCAGTAGCTCATGTTTGTAATCCCAGCACTTTGGGAGGTTGAGGGGGTGGATCACTTGAGCCCAGGAGTTCAAGATCAGCTTGAGCAACATGGCAAAACCCTGTCTCTGTAAAAAATACAAAAATTAGCCAGGCAGCCGGGCGCCGTGGCTCACGCCCATAATCCCAGCACTTTGGGAGGCCAAGGCGGGCCGATCACGAGGTCAGGAGATCGAGACCATCCCGGCTAACACGGTGAAACCCCGTCTCTACCTAAAAATACAAAAAATTAGCTGGGCGTGGTAGTGGGTGCCTGTAGTCCCAACTACTAGGGAGGCTGAGGCAGGAGAATGTCGAGAGCCCGGGAGACGGAGCTTGCAGTGAGCTGAGATCGTGCCCCTGCACTCCAGCCTGGGCAACAGTGCGAGACTCCGTCTCAAAAAAAAAAAAAAAAAATTAGCCAGGCATAGTGGTATGTGCTTATAATCCCAGCTACTGAAGTGGGAGGATCGCTTGAGCCTGGGAAGTTGAGGCTTCAGTGAGCCATGATCACACCACTGCACTCCAGCCTGTGCAACAGAGTGAGAGACCCTGTCTCAAAAAATATATATATGTGTGTATATATATATGTGTATATATATCAATATGTATGAATGAAATATGTGTGTATATATATCTCAATATATATACACATATATATTTTTGAGACGGTATATATATATCATCACACAAAATATATGTATGTATATATGTGTATATATATCAATATATATGTATATGTGTTATATATCAATATATATACACATATATTTCCAGAACATTAAAGTAGTTGAAGAAGTATTGAAAATTTTTAAAGTAGATATTGTAACAAGAAAAACCCAGAATTGCATTAATAAAAACCTTCCCCCAAACTGAGAGGAAGCCGAGAAACCAAAGATTGACCCAGACAAGTCCAGCTTGGCGAGTAGAGGAGTTTATCAGGACTTACATACAAGGCACTCCTGGATGGCAGCATGACAGCTGTAGAGATCCGCCTGGCCTCCCATCCCTAAGCTACTTGTAAGCTAATTTTCTGGCTTTTAGCCTACTGTGTGTGATGGAGCTGTTTTCTTTGGTAGGTTCTCAGATATTCTCTGGGATGTTTGGCTTCTCAAACAGCTGCTCTTTGGCTGGTCACCTTGGCCTTGCCACATGGCCTTCAGGATTCAGGCAGTGGACATACACTCTTTAGTAACCCGGGTGGGGGGGACCTGTTACACTACAGGTGTATTAAAATTCACAACATTGTTTTAAGTTTAAATATTTTATTTATGCCAAGATGGATGTAATATAACTTTACTTTTAATGGAAGTAAACTGATCAGTAATGTGTTCAAATCTGCTTTGCTTGTTTTGAGAGAATTGCCATGCCTTCACAATTTTTCTTGACCAAGTAACAACCTTAAATAATTTTAATTAACTTCAGCTTACTGATCTTGTCTTTATTTAAAATTTTGGTATTTTATTCATCATGAATTTTTTTCATTAGTTTTAATATTTTAAGAATATTTCATTAAAGTATCACAAATCTTGATTGCTGAGTTCCTTGGTGCCCCTTAAATTCCTTCTCATTTACGCTAACCCTGGGCCTAGTGGGAAAAAGGATGTATGGAGCCCCATAAATTGCAGAACCCACACCAGCGGGGGCTGCCCCTTCCACTCCTTCTCCTGGTCCTGGCACTGTCCAGACTGTGGAGAAAGAAGGTACCCACCATATTGTTCTAACAGGCAAATCACCTCCTCAGGCCTCTACCTAAAACCTTTCATCTGCCCATTTTTGCCATTTAGGGATAAAATCTTAAGATAGCTTCCAACACACACACTTTAACGCACTCCTGAAGGTCTTGCTCACCAGTTGGTAAACTGTATTTCTAGATGCTTACCTCCATTTTACTGGCACCTTCACAATGTTGAGCTCCTAAAACATACCATGTTATACTGCCTTCAAGCCTTGCACAGGAATTAGTAATCCCACACCCCACCTGCTATGTTACTACTGTCAATGACTTCCAATGATTTTCTCTTTAAAAATCCTGCTTCCACTTGAGGGGTAGAGTCAAATGAAAAACAATTCACCCTTTTGCCCAAAGTCAGTTTCTCCCTTCTAAGCTCCTTGTTTAATGGTACCAAGATTCTCCCAGACTTGAACTTTGTAATCAGCTTCATCTCTCTCTGACCACCAACATCCATTCACCTGTATCCAATCACTTGGCCCTAAAATTTCTTTCTTCATGATGCCACTAATATCTCCCTTTCTATTTGCATACTTTGGAGTAAGGAGTGTGGGAGAAGTTGTATAAAGAAAAATACAGAAAGCACCATGCAAATTGAAAACAGACAACCTGGAGCAAACTCTTACAACTTTATAAATAACATCTTAGTGGAGAGTCTGGAGTACTCTGAATTCTCAGACAGGAATTGCCAATACACATTCTCCCGAGATTGCTGGCTGGAGAGAGTCACAGTGCTGCTACTTCAGTTGTTTTTTCTTTGACAAAGAAAAGCATGATAAAATGTACACAGTTTTTTGATGTAAAATGTCATGGAGAAATTAAAGCATTTTCTTCTGTTATCAAATGGATCCCTCTTCCTAACACAACAAATGCTTCTGTTGCATTGCTCCATCCTCAGGATCTGAACTGCACTCCCCTCACACACTTTCAGACTTCTTCACTCAAACGGTCCTTCCTTTCTGTTCTCCCATTTCATTTTCTTTCCTCACTCAGTCCATCTTATAACAAATGATCACAAAGGTACCTCATCCCTCCTGTTAACTGTGAGCTCTTAGAGGTCAAGGAACTTGTGAATATCCAGTTCACAGTATACTTTAAAACAAGGACAGGCTAGTAGGGCCCAGGCCACAGGCCAGGGTATGGAAATAAGAATCCAGAAGGGATGCTCAAATAAGCATTCTTATTTCTGGGAAGAACCCAGAAGGATGCTCAAAGAGCCCTAAAATTATTATTTTTTTAATCGAGGACTTAGAATAGTGACTCCAATGTATTTTTGTATCAGAGATACCCTTTCAGAAACCTAGATTTTGCATTTTGATGAGGAAGCCCTGAAACCTCTCCATAGGATACACATAAACACACTTTGTGTAGTTCATCCATGGACCCAGAGATGGCCTTCCCAATGCTGTGAAGTGGTGACAGGTAGCATTATGGCTTTAATCAGCTTTAATGCCTGGCAGTAGTATACTGACACAGGGCTTTTTATCATTTGCAAAGATGAATGAGAAAGAAATGTGTATCATAAATGCCCAGGGGTGCAAAGTCACCTTTGGCCTGACTTGTTTCTCCCTAAATTAAAAAGGTTCCAGCTATAGGCATCCATTGGTAGAGACCAAGACTGGCAATACTTTATCATAAATAGGAAGCCTTGGACAGTTTTGCTGTAAATTATCCATTTTTAAAGAAATGTTAATCAGGTTTTTACTTTGATTTTAAATCAGCTTACCTAAAGCCTCATAACTACTGAAAAATTGCAGCACTTATTACCTACACTGATTACTTGCATATATTTTAGAATGGTTTGAAAGCAATTTTAGTAATACTTAGTAGTTATTATGGCTATTTTTTAATTTAAAGAAAAACCTGACAATTTTTATCTAATTCAAGATTGAAAATATGGTTCATCTAGAGATAAAAAGCCTTAGTCGTTCAGGCTGAAAGGGTCATACCTTTCAATATTCATCTTTCTACAACTTTCAGTAAATGGATTCTCTAAACTGGTACATGTGTTAGAGCTTATTAGACCAGTAGAGCGCAATAGTGTTCCTCTAGATCTCAAGAGTATCTGTTGGTACCTTAATGTCAGTGTTGACATTTAGAATACATCCATAGAGAAGTAACATATTTTCTAAAGTATTTTAATTTAACTTCTTTAATGTTACCAGCCCAATGATGTTAATAAAATAATTGTGATAATTAGTTTCCAAGTTATATAATGATCTCTGTGCAAAAACAAAACTTACTGAGGTAAGAAATAAGCGTCTAACTGAAATGGAAGGGATGAAACGCTAAGGCCAGTGAAGACGCAGTCCCTCACACTCAGTAGTATCTATGCAGATACATACTATTTTGGTGACATCCTGCTGCTGCAGATCCAGAGAGACAGAGAGAGAGCCAGAGAGAGAGCGAGAGCGAGAGAGAGAGAGAGAGCGAGAGAGCGAGAGAGAGAGCGAGAGAGAGAGCGAGAGAGAGAGCGAGAGAGAGAGCGAGAGAGAGAGCGAGAGAGAGAGCGAGAGAGAGAGCGAGAGAGAGAGAGAGAAAGCGAGCCAGAGCGAGCACGAGTAGGCCAGAGAGGACCCGAGCGGGCTAGAGCGAGAGTGAGAGCGAGAGCGAGAGCCAGAGAGCCGGAGCCAGAGAGCCAGAGTCAGAGCCAATGGAACTGGCACCAGGTGCGAAGCTAGGCTGAGGAACACAGTAGAGAAGAGGCTGTAGACCCAAACAGTCATAGTTATCAATGCCTGAGAAGACTAATATAACCAAACAATTCTCATCTATACACTGGATGTACTTAATAATTTCCCTGTTTCTAAATCAGAAATTGTGGTTGACCTTGTACTATACTACAAGGAACATGGCCTGGTGTGTGTGTGTTGAGGGGGAGGTGGCAAGAGATAAACTAACCCCATTTTATAATTTTGAACAGAGCCTAGTAAAGAAAAATGGCAATGGGCTATAGGAAGACCAACACCACACTTAATTGCATGGAAAGAACTGCTACTCCAAAGCAGAACAAAGAATAGTATTAGGGTTTATTCAATTAAAAAAACTTAATTAGCTTTTAAAAATGAGGAAAAGAAGAAAATCAAGCAGCGAAAAAGCCATTATCATTAACAGGTTGCATTCACTAAGATGACACAAACAGAGCTTATCAAATACCTTTATGACCAACATAATTTTCTAGCAGATCCTGACCATCATTAACTGTTGGAACTGTGAAGCTGAGACTTGCCACCAAGACCTGTTACTACTGACCCACTCAATTCTCTTACCCTTTTATTCATAAAATGTTCTCCGACATAAATTTCTCATTCTTTGTTAGTTACATTTTACAAAGGATATTTTACCTGTAATTAGGCTTTGGACAAGATAAAAACCTTTATTTAAAAATACAGTATTCTCTTCCTTTAAAAATGTGTACAGAAAAAGGATTTAGATAAAATATGATTTTAAAAAACAGGAAACAAAGCCAAATTCTCACAAAAATCAAGAGAAATTGGTGAGACCCAGAATATCAAACCAACCAGAACAGCAAGAGAGGCAGGGCAAATAGATGGAGAACAACCACAGGCACATCAAGTTTTCCCTGAAGCCTCTCCCCACAGCATTTTTGTTCTGCAAGTTAACAACCAGCTCAGAGATGTCCAAGTTGCATGCAGTCTAACTTTTACCCACCTCACATAATGGTGAAACCATTTATTTAATAAATACAATATCAGAAAGGGTATACATTAGGAGACCCACTTCCTCAAAGAAGCTGGGAATTCTCTCTTAGGAACAGCATCATATAACCTGGGAAGCGCTGTGGAAATCCAGGCACATTTTCTGTAAGCTGTGACTTCAACTCTAAACTAAATTCTATTCCTTTCTATGTACAACGAGTCCCTGGGATCTTTGGTGGGGAATCAGCAACAGCAACCTCGTAATCCATAGGCCAAACCAAGGGCTGTTTTCCTTTTCTTCCTTTAATGCAGAGGCTCACGCTCTCCTGCTGTTCATCAAAAGTGTGAGAAGTAAATAAGTTATTGATCAGTGGCATTAGGAATATAACAATAGAGAAGAGAAATGGCTTCCAATTATTGTGTCTGGGACCCTTGAGAAGACAAAGCCTTACTAGCTTTAGGATCTTGGCTATAAATGGTAAATTAGTAGTAGCTTTTGAAATCCTTGGGCATTCAAGTTGGCTAATTTTTTCATTTTATAAGAGGAAGGTTGGGACAGCTGATATCTATTTACAGAGGTTCTACAGTAAAAGGTTGGCTGGTGCAGAATGAGTTTTTTTTTTTTTTTTTTTTTTAGATACAGAGTCTCGCTCTGTTGCCCAGGCTGGAGTGCAGTGGTGTGATCTCAGCTCACTGCAAGCTCCACCTCCCGGGTTCAAGCGATTCTCCTTCCTCAGCCTCCTGAGTAGCTGGGATTATAGGCGCCTGCCACCTCGCCCTGCTAATTTTTTGTATTTTTAGTAGAGATGGGGTTTCACCGTGTTAGCCAGGATGGTTTCGATCTCCTGACCTCATGATCCACCTGCCTTGGCCTCCCAAAGTGTTGGGATTACAGGCGTGAGCCACCACGCCCGGCTGCAAAATGAGTTCTTAAGGGGAAGATTACTCACAGGTAAAGCTTGAAGACCTTGCACTCTTTCCTCCCACCAGGCGTTTTGTGCTTCTTGATCCTGTGTGGGTCCCAGAGACCCCAGTGTCACCATGATGGGTATATCCCTGGGGTGACTGGGCCTGCTGGGCTTCTCTCAGTTCCCTGAAGTGCGAGGGAGAAAAAGCAAAGGCTACTTGATCTCCAGTCAGAGATATGTATGATCAAAACTAATATATAAATGTTTTTCTTCTTGTTTCAGTATTTACAGAAACGAAAAGCCTGAGCTATGTACAGAATAGAAAATTCAGTTACTATGGTTGTCATAAAAAATGGTTGACACACACATGTCATACAACATGGCAGGTTTAGCTCCCCAGGCTCTGCTGATTGGAGTATAAGTGATCTTTAAAATGCTTTAAATTAAGTGAACAGCTCTTCAGGCTACATATGAAAGGTACCAGGGTCAATAAACCACAACTTCTGAGTCAAATCTGGCCTATCACCTGTATTTATAAATAAAGTCTTATTGGAACACAGCCACTCATTTATAGTGTAAAAACAGCCATTGACAACATATAACAGCAGAGCTGAAATCATTCCAGCAGAAAGCATATGGCCCACAAAGCATAAAATATTTACTCTCTAGCCCGTCACAGAACAAGTTTTCCAACACTTGGTCTAGACCAGCGGTCCCCAACCTTTTTGGAACCAGGGACTGATTTCGAGGAAGACAGTTTTTCCATGGGTGGGGAGTCGGGGGAGGAGATGGTTTCAGGATGAAACTGTTCACCTCAGATCATCAGGTATTAGATTCTTGAAGGAGTACACAACCTAGATCCCTCACATGCACAGTTTACAATAGGGTTTGTACTATAAGAATTTAATGCTACCACTGATCTGATGGGAGGCAGAACTCAGGCGGTAGTGCTCACTCACCCACTGCTCACCTCCTGCCATGCAGTCCGGTTCCTAACAGGCCACAGACTGGTACTGGTCCATGGCCCAGGGGCTGGGGACCCCTGGTCTAGACAATTTCAAGATGCTGTCTGCCCCATCTCTATGATAGGTGCCCATCACTGGTACTGGCTGATGATAGTCACCTGTGTCTCCATAGCTGGCTTCCCAGAATGTATACACCACACCTTAAGAGGTACTTATATTCTTGTGAATAACATATGTAAGTATAGTACTTTGTACTTTCTTTATTAGCTGGGACAATGGAATTCAAAACTAGAACAGAAAAATATTAAGAGGCTTATTAGGAAGATTTACCTGACTAAAGGCCAAGAGTCTCTACAAGTTATTATTAATACTAAGAAATCAGGTTAGGGATGCTTCAAAGCTAATCTTTCCAAGATGGATGACTGTATATCCAAGAGAAGCTGGACTTCTAAGCTTATTTTAAGCAAGGACAATTTTTCATTTTCTTCTTTTGTATTTTCAACAGTGTACAGTATATGTAATAATTACTCAAAAATGCCTTCAGAACACTGCTCATCTCCAACCCCACCCCATCAAATTCCTATTTTTTTGTTTCCGTTTTTCAGGGGAAAGCGCGAATGCAGTCCCCCACTACAACAAATTATGCAGTCGAGTTTTCCACATTTGGGAATATCACAGGGGTCAGCACATCCGGAGTGCAATCGATGAGCCCCACGCTGGGAAAAACCACCTTCGTGATCATGGTATCTTCCCTGCCAGGTAAGTATTTGAATTCCCATTTATTGAAGGAATGGATTAACAAGTAAATATATGCATGAATACAAGCCCACATGAGTAGGGGAACAGATCGTTTTCTTTGCTCAGAAAAATAATCCTTCCTCCAAATGTGTACCAGGACAGTATGTCTACCTGCCTGCCCCTGAAATTTATGGGTTTCTAAAATAGGTCTTACCCATCTTACCTGTGGTTATCTTATATTAGGTGATCACCAACCAGTTACTAAGATACCTGCTGTCACTTAGAATCCTAAGTTTTCTTTACTGGTATTTCCTTATATTCCTCACTCTTGCTTCCTTTGTTTGCGTTAACTGGAATTTTCTCTCTCAAGCAACCTAATCACAGAGCCTCCCAGCCCGATGCTACAAAGAGCCGCATGCTGCCAGTTTCCTTGTGGGCAGGGACCTATGTATTATAATGGTGAATATATTTATACTTGAATCCACAGAGAAGACACAGTAGACTAGTCATACCATTGTGAGTAGTGCTCAGATTCTTTCTTGACCCCCCATCATCCAAAAATATACCTTTCCAGTGTGGCAGTCTTGAACTTTTCCAAATTCAGCTGCTGTTGGAGCTCTTCTGTTTTTCCCAGGGAAGGCCGGAGAACTGTATTTCTGGCCAGAGCTGCTGCAGAAGGTCTCTGTTCGGCATCAGGTTGGATCATGTTCTGATGATATAGGACCAAGAGGAAAGAAACAGAAGCTTCACTATTGGGAAAAATCTTCCCATTCAAGCCAACTCCAACCCAGCTTCTCCTGGTGGATTTTGTAAGACATTGCTTCTGCTTTGTGCAGAGGAAAGAAATGAAAACTGAGCTCCACCTGGGGCAGGAGGATTGTCCATGTCTGGTAGCACCAGTTGTCCACACCTTTGATTTGTTTTTAATCATATTTTGGAGCTGGCTGGCTAACTAGTCTATTGCCTTAGTTTTAAAGCAGAAAAAACTAAGACTCTCGATAAAAATTATCCAAATTACTGGAATGGACAAGACCAAAACCCAGTTTGCCCAACTCTTACTCCAGTTTACTTTCTACCACATCATGTTGCTTTTTCACTTAGTATTAATAACCCAACATGACAGTATTCCTGAAGCATTTATTTTAAGGTAGACGATGTAACCTATCATGATTTGAATATAGTAGAAAATACCTAATTATATACAGCAACTGAAACTGTCATATAATGAAGAAAACACTGAACCAAATTCAGACCAAATTCAGAGCCAACTCCACCATTTGTTGTATAAACTTTGCTGAAGCTCCATTTCCCTTACCTGAAATTTGGGATAATTATATTCACTTTCTTGAACTATTTTTAGAATTTAACAAAATTAATATATGTCTTATCTAGTACAGGGCCAGCATTTAGGTACTGAAATATCAACTAAATGCAAAAGTGGTTTACATATGGAAATAGGTGATTAGACTGAACAAAAGGAAGGAGGAAGAGTTTGCCTCCTTTCAGGAAAGCAAAAGAAGTCAGGAAGAAGGACAGATTTGTAAATACATTTGAAGTTTGCAGGTAAACTGTGAAACTAATCTCCCACACCTGCAGTCCAGCTACTCAGGAAGCTGAGGCAGGAGGATTGCTCGAGCCCAGGAGTTCAAGGCTGCAGTAAGCTATGATTGTGCCACTGCACTCCAGTCTAGGCAACAGAATGAGACCCTGTCCCAAAAAATAAAAAATAAAAATAAAAATAAAAAAAATCTAATCTCCAAGGAAGTAGATATTTCTAAGGCTGTTTTGGGAATCCTAGCCAATCCTGTTCCTTAAGACATGATTTAAAGTCATATATACACTTTTCTTGACATGATTAAGCTTCTTGACAGTATAAGCTTTTTGTTTCTATTTCAACATAGTATCTTCCTTTTCTTGTCCCCACACTACTCAGATGTCATTAAGAACAAGTAAAACATAGATTTTTGAATTGACATTATGCCTTTTTTCTAATAGCTCAAATAATTGGTATTATCAATTATCAATAAAGTAGTCTTATACCTTCTTACATATAATAGAAATTCATTCTTTTAGTACTATCACTGTTATCACTAACAATAGTTAAAACCCTGAAGTAGGAGCTAAAGGACCAGATTTGATTTTGGAGTTAGCCAGTCATTCATTGTGACTACAGGTGTCAAGGAGCTGCTCTGAGCCATGGTTTCCTCAACTGCAGGATAAGATGCCACCTGTCTACCTTATAGGGTTGTTAGAAGGGACAAATGAAAAAATGTTTGTAACAGGATTTTTAAACTAAGCATGAAAAGATTTTACAATATCCTCCGAGTTTCCTTAAGAAATTCTCGATCCACGCCCCCTCCGCTGCCTGCTTTTTTTTTTTTTTTTTTTGAGACGGAGTCTCGCTCTGTCGCCCAGGCTGGAGTGCAGTGGCACGGTCTTGGCTCACTGCAAGCTCTGTCTCCTGGGTTCAAGACATTCTCCTGTCTCAGCCACCCAAGTAGCTGGGACTACAGGTGCCTGCCACCATGCCCGGCTAATTTTTTGTATTTTTAGTAGAGACGGGGTTTCACCGTGTTAGCCAGGATGGTCTCATCTTCTGACCTTGTGGTCCACCCTCCTCGGCCTCCCAAAGTGCTGAGATTACAGGTGTGAGCCACCATGCCTGGACCCGCCCCTTATTTTTTCTGGACTTCTAGTCACGTTCCTTTTTCTGTTAGTGACACTACTAGCATCTCCATTTTTCTTTGCCCAACTAGTTGCCATCGCACTAAAAAAATAGATATTGCATCTTCTGTTCATCTCGTAAGAGCTATCACCTTGAGCAGACTGGAAAAGCTTTCTGAGAGCTCCTGAGGAACGTCCGGAAAGTTACCCTTGCGGATATGGTGCCATGCAGCACCATTGGTGGGCAATGACTCTGCTCCTGCAGCCACTGCAATTGTTAATCCCAAGGCAAATATGTCTGCTTTGGGAAGGTGCCGGTAATCCTTCAAAACAGAAGACAGGAAGGCCAGTTACTATGCCAAGCAGGGTGAGTCTAGATTAAAATATAACTGGTAGGAAAGGTTCATTCGAGTGCATATAAGGTTTAAACAGACACGACGGTCAAAGATACATTCGCTGTAGTTAGTGATTTCTAGAGAAGAGAGAACACGAATCTACCTGATTAACACTGCTGTGCCCTGAGGAGTCCAAGGCAGAAACTTACTGCCATTTTGCTGTCAGGCTCAGAAAGGCTTGCTACATAACTTGGCTGATCACAGGAAGGGAATACTCATTTTTACTTGATTATCACCCAGGAAGAAGTTATATCCTTCCTAGGCCTGACTCAACAGACATTGGAGAAGATGGGCAATGACTAAACATCATTTCAATAACCAAAACTGGTGGTGCTATCAGAAGGATAATGGCATGATAGATTGATTGGACCAATGTGGGCTTGAGGAAAAGGCTTCCTTCTTAGTAGGCAATCCATGAGGTTAGGAAGTCTAAGAAATATTGGGAAACAGTAAAGGACATTTAGAAAGAATAGTCTGAATACTGATTCATCCTTGACTGAGCCAGCTTTCCTCACTTTTTTGGAAGAGTTTCTCTCCTATCTTTGGTCTCCATTCTGAATGGGAAGAGCGGTACTATAATGATAAATATACAGTTTTAATTTTTTGCACTGAGATCCTCCATTTGAGAGTCAAAGGTTCAACAGATTATAAAATACCCTCCATTTCCCTAATCTATACCTCTTGCAAAATCTCATTAGCCAGGAAGCGACTATCTCCTTCTTCCACTTTGGGTTTGTTTATTGATGTTGCGTGGCCCAGGTCACCTAAAAAAAAGAAAAAGGAAAAAAGAATAAAATCGAACAAAAGAGCTTTAAAAGCATGTCTTTCTTAAAATGAATAAATTGAGTCATCACTATAAATTTTATAGGATAATGGTAACTGGTAAGGCTATAAGGCAGACTAACCAATTTTATACATCACATTGGCAGAGAGAAACCAATCAGCTTCATTTTCAACTTCTTCTATGACTCCAGAGGATTCACTTTGCATCTTGTGACAAATGAATATATTACCTGAAAAAAAAATGACAGGATAGATGTAAGTAATGACTTCTAAGCTTTTTCCTCTCAAAGATTCTTTTCTGTATTTGACAATTCAGCTTCTCTCCTTTCTTCTTTTGTGTGGACATAGACTACTAAGGTTTTTTTTTTGTATGAAATCTCACATCGCTTCTGAACAGCTAGTGATTGATAATACCTATTTAAGTTCAACTGATCTCATATATTCTCCATTCTCTGATGGGACTGGTATCAGAGTACTATTGTCCCCAAAATAAAAAAATAGTAAGAACTTGTCCTTGGGTTTCACATTAATGAGTGACAGTTACTCATTTCTCTTTAATCAGTGCAGAGTTAGAATGAGTATAGCCCTAGTCATAAACATAATCAGAATGTAGCTGATATGCTGTCACTTGCCTTTGTAGTAAATTAAATACCTAATTTTACTTTTTTGGCCTTACTACTATATGGGTAAGAGTCTTTTTTTCTATGTCTGTTGGGCCTAGGGGAGAATAAAACTATTTAACTGATTTTTTTTAAGGAACACAAATGGAAGAAAGGGGTTCTGCCAGCAAACACCGTCCTTGACACTTGATAGACATACAGACCTAGATTTTGATGATAGCATAGAAAGAACAAAATACGGTAGAAGTGGCAGAAGGGAATCACACTGACTAGGTTTGATGTCCAGGTGTACCATGCTAGAGTTGTGGATGTAATTAAGGCCAAGGGAAATCTGTAGAAGGATGTCCTTGAGTTTTGGCTCTTCAAAATGATTGCCAGACTTAGTGTTTTCAGATATAGCAGCTTGCAAACTCCCACCTGGGAAAGAACAACAGAGAACAGCCCCACAGTATGAGTCTTATAGATGAAAGCATAGTAAATACAATTGGCCTCCTATATCTTCAGGGTATTAGTTCCAGGACCTCCTGCAGATATCAAAGCCCCAAATGCCCAAGAGCCTTGTATAAAATGGCATAGTACTCTGATCAATACATTCCTCATGAATGCCTTCAGTCCAACGAATAGATTACTTCGGTGTCAGTACAAAGCATAATATCTGCCCTATTTATACCACAGACATGTTGGAAAGGAGAATTACAGGGCTTTCAAAGAGGAAAAGAAAATGCCAGTATCTCAGGTATCCAGTATATGGCCCCATTGATTCAAATATGTACCAGCTAACATTTTAAAAGTTTTACCTAATTATTAACTAGAAGATCAATCAGGCATAGTCGTATAGCTACTATTGGTGTCAATGATTAGCTCCATGTCAGTGTCAGGCTAGTAGTTATAGGCCATCAGTAATTTTAATTAATGGAGTCTAAGTCTAATTTCATTAGAAATAGATCATAAAATATTTAATGACTGCCAACCCAAGGAGAATATAGAAGCTGCACATACACCTAAATCTTATTTGAGCCACAGTATTTGTACATCAACTGTACTCGATTTATTGTTATCAATTAAATAAAAGGCCTGGATTCATATAGCTATCTGATCTTGATTCTAAGGTATTAGAATGCTTCTGAACACTTTTTCTTTTTTTTTGAGACGGAGTCTCACTCTGTCACCCAGGCTGGAGTACAATGGCATGGTCTCGGCTCGCTGCAACCTCCGCCTCCCGGGTTCAAGCGATTCTCCTGCCTCAGCATCCCCAGTAGCTGGGACTAAAGGTGCATGCCACCACACCTGGCTAATTTTTGTATTTTTAGAAGAGACGGGGTTTCACTATATTTGGCCAGGCTCGTCTCGAACTTCTGACCTCGTGATCTGCCCGCCTCGGCCTCCCAAAGTGCTGGGATTACAGGCATGAGCCATTGCGCCCGGCCTCTGAACACTATTAATTAGTGTTCATTGGCAGGTTCTTCAAATTATAGAGACCCAGCTCTAACTGGCAGTTACAAAAACCATAGCTCCACTCATTGAGCTCTGAGATAGTCATGGAATTTGAGGGAAATAATATTTAAATGCATTCTGTGTAAAATTGAATTTAAAGAATTATTTTAGCATGACATGTAAGTTCAGAAGGGAGAAAAATTTAGCTCGTTTCGGAAACACAAGGAGGGCTACAGTAAAGTTTTTTATTTTTTGCAAGTATTCTTAGAATTTATACACTATATATGACGTATTAATTAGAAACAATAAGTAAGGAAAGAGCGTTTTGGAGCTTGTTAAAAATGAAGTCACTCGGCTAGATGCAGTGGCTCACGCCTGTAATCCCAGCACTTTGGGAGGCCGAGGCAGGTGGATCACCTGAGGTCAGGAGTTCAAGACCAGCATGACCAACATGGGGAAACCCCGCCTCTATTAAAAAAAAATACAAAAAATTAGCCAGGCATGGTGGCAGGTGTCTGTAATCCCAGCTACTTGGGAGACTGAGGCAGGAGAATTGCTTGAACCCAGGAGGTGGAGGTTGCGGTGAGCCGAGATCACACCATTGCACTCCAGCCTAGGCAACAAGAGAAAAACTCCATCTCAAAGAAAAAAAAAATGAAGTCACTCCAAGACAAAGTGTGTAGGTGAGGTCATGAGGTGCTACCAACAAGGAGGAGGGCTGCAGCCACCAAAGCTCTGGTTTCTCTACCAGCCTGGATGTTGCTTAAGGGGAGGGAGCACATCTAACTCATCTTCACTTGCCCAAGGCCTAGCATGGAATAAATATTTTCTGAACTGAATGATTATCCTGACAACAGAAGGGAAAGAAAGAATAAGTCGAGGACCCCTTTAAGAGGAAGAGAAGCTCTGTGCTTCCAAGCAAGACTATAATATATAGTACAGACTTTTTAGGTATATCTGCTATCCGTGGAATGAACTATGAGGAGGAGGGAAAGTTTATTTCTGAAGGCTTATAAAGTTCATCTCCCTCTTCGTAGTTATTCATCTATATACTACTTACCATTGCAGTATTCATTCTGAATGATCATGTGGTCATCTTCTGCCCATGAGGAATAGTAACGTACCACATGGGGGTGATGCCCAAGCACTGCGTGAGCATAAACTTCATGCAAAGCCGAATTCCTATGAGACAGAAAAGCATTGAGGAATAAAAACATCAATCAAGATAATGCACACAAAAATGTTTCTTAAAAATATGAGGCTTTACTAGCAATGGCAGAATATTTATTGAGAGCTCACTGCTTGCTTACTATTTTATCTCATTGAATCTTAATAATCATTTGGTAATATACAGTGGAAACAATGAAGGCTGTTGAAAGTAAGTGGCCCAAAGTCGAACTGGTAATAGCAGACTTAAGAGCAGAACCTTGGTCAGCCTGGTGCCAAAGTCCATTGTTTTTTTTTTATTTTAACATGGCATATGTAAAGAGGAGCTTTAAGTGGTTATGCCTCAATGGCAGATGTGCATCAGGTCTTCATTTCATCCTATCACAATCAAAACATTTTAATGGGCTTAACGAGAAGGCCACTGTACACCAGATTGTGGATATTGCAATGGGCCTTTGATTCATCTCTATAAAGGCTAGGCAGTCATTAGAGTGAATGTTAGCCTCAGCCAATATGATATACTCACAGGAATAGCCTTGGGGAGAGATATTCCTTATGGAATAGAAAATCCCAACACAAATTAAGCAAAATAGAGTACTTGATGAATCTCAGTATAAAAATGAAGAACTAGCCAGGTGTGGTGGCACATGCCTGTAGTCCCAGCTACTTGGGAGGCTAAGGCAGGAGAATCACTTCAACCTGGGAGGCAGAGGTTGCAGTGAGCCAAGATGGTGCCACTGCATTCCAGCCTGGGCAACAGAGCTAGATTCCATCTCAAAAAAAAAAAAAAAAAAAAAAAAAAAAAAAAGAGGAATTCTAAAACCTGTATAAAACCTGCAATTCTAGATTCTGCATGTTAAGTATATCCTCACAGTTCATAAAAAGCCTTGGCTGATCTGAAAATATGTGTTTTCCTTGTGATTAAGGAAGAACTTTTGAACAGTTCTGGGAATCAAACAAACTTTCATTTTCCCTTGCATGTAGTCTCTGAAACTTTACTATTGAATTCATTGTTAATGTAAAGTAAAGATAAACCAGTGACTTTATAATAACTTTCTATTTGGTAATATTTCTGATAAATGAAACAGACACCAGAGGACAATTCCACAAATCTATTCATTTTTTAAAAAGTCAGAAAGACCAGCAGTAGAAAGTAAAAGCCACAAAAAAACAAAACAAAACAAAACACCACATCATGATTGGCCAGGTGCAGTGGCTCACGCCTGTAATCCCAGCACTTTGGGAGGCCACGGCAGGCAGATCACAAGGTCAAGAGATCAAGACCATCCTGGCCAACATGGTGAAACCCTGTCTCTACTAAAAATACAAAAATTAGCCAGGTGTAGTGGTGCGCGCCTGTAGTCCCAGCTACTCAGGAGGCTGAAGCAGGAGAATCACTTGAACCCAGGAGGTGGAGATTGCAGTGAGCCAAGATCACACCACTGCACTCTAGCCTGGTGACAGAAAACAAACAAACAAACAAAAACACATCATGATCTAAAATGATCGTGTTGTATTTTAGGAAGTAACATCTCTGAGCTGGAAAACTCAGAAAGGTTATGAATATGAGATAACATATAATGTGGGGTGATTTTAAAACACAAATGATTTTTAATGACATCGGTGCTTTAATTTAAAATAATTTGACAAGAAACAACTCTCCAAATCTAAGTTTATATTTTTAGTGCATTTCAAAGGTACTCACTCATTTGATAATTCTGTAAAAGTTTTCATAGAGCGCTTTATTGCATAAACACATCCATCCAGCCTCTTAATGCACTTGTAGACTGTACCAAATTCGCCAACCCCAATTTTTTCAACCTCCAAGAATTCTTTTTCATAGCGGGAAGCCATGTTGGTTTCTCGTAAAACACATCTCTAAAGTATTTTAATAAAAAGGAAATTAGAGTAATTCTACCATGTTGTAAGCAATAAAATTAAACAGTATTACAGTCCTAAGTTGCTCCAAGTTTTCAAAAAGACTTTTGAGGTGACTGCAATGAATTCTACTTGGGTCAATATTCATGGTAGCAAGAATCTCCCCAATTGCTGACTATCTTCTTTGTTTTCTTTGTAACCTTCTGTACAACCCTATACTGACAATTCTCACTTATTTTTCAATATTCTTTTCTCTATCTGGGCATACTGTTCTTTTCTACATGTTCCTAAGGGGACACAACTTCTCACTCCCAGAGCTACTGTCCTTAGTTCAAAGAATAACTGGGACCTGGGTGGAGCAAATTAAAAGAAATGAAAGACCCCCCTTCTTTATGTGTCTTAAAGTCTGAATGCTAATGTTTCCATCTCAAGCTGAATAAGCATACTTGTTTTCTGTTTCTTTTCCCAAAAATACCAGCCTGGAGAAATGATTTTGTCAAAATTGTCAAACTTTGACAATTTTGGTTAGTTCAGACTATGTGCTCAGGTCTAGCAACCACTCCCGCTACTGGCCAACTAGCAACATCATTCATTGCCCAGGTAGTAAATAACCCCAGGCCAATCTGAACTCCTTTCAGTTTTCCTATCTGTAGGATGAAGATCATGGCAACACTCTTCAGGGTTCTTTTAAATATTACATGAGAATATACAGTATTACATATATTGTAATATATCTTAGGATAGTGTCAAGTACATAGTAAATTCTCATTAAACTATTATGACCAAAAATCTCCATAAATTTATATGAATCTAAATCCAAGCTGATTTATCTCCCAAAGTCATCTTTTCTCAGTGTCCCAATCCTGAAGAATTTTTCTCCAACTTTATGAGTTTGAAAAATCTTGGGTTTTACTACTTCCTCATTTTCAACATCTAATTCTGGTCACTTTCATCAGCAAGATCTCTTAATTTTCATTACCCTTAGCCAGTCTCAAGCTCTGTTCCCTTCTTGTCTGGATTGGCTACAGCTACCAGCCCTCTCTTTAACTCTTCTAATAGTAAGAATTATTTTTGCAAAATGATACCACAGAATCAGAGATGCCTAATTGTTTCCCATGAGAAATTCAAACTCTTGATAAGAAAGCCTCAAGACCTTCTACCAACTGCGCACTCACTACTTGACTACCCTCCCCCTAGATACCAATGAAGCCAGTATACCATCTGCATCTATCCCTGACCACTCCCCACCCACCATACCCCTCTTACACCTGAACTCTGTTCTCCTGCCTTGATAGCATTAAAAGTTATTTACTTCCTTAGCCTAAAATTATCTTAATATACAATCTCTTCCTACCCAAGCTCTATTTCATAGAAGTATTTACTAACCACTTCTAGATTTTAAAGATATACACGCATATGTATATTCACATTGCACATATGTACATACACATATACACAAATACATATATCTCATAGCTTCTAATTTACATATAGATTGTTTTGAAATTTCAAAGGTTTTAACTCCTGTTTGGCCAGATGTTTTTCCTTAAAGGGTGTAACTAAATACAATGCTTTGCACTTATTTAATGTTCAATAAATATTAGAATTTCTATCTGAAATCAAGAGATAAATTATAAAATAAGTGAGGAATAAAATCCAACAGTAAAATAATGGAGGCATAAGTCAGAAACATTTGCATTTGAAGGAACACCTGTGCCAGTGGCCGCCTTTTCTGTGATGTTTACAATAGCCAAGTGCTAACATTTTAACATATTAACATATTTATTTACGCAAATAAAACTTGCTTCAGAAAACTTTAAAAATTTAAAGGAAAAACAAATATGAAGTTTCCACCATTCAAAAATGTTGAAATAGCAGTGGTTATAGCTCCATTTCATTCTCCCTGTGATTAATGTGCAATAGATAGTTATGGTCATTCAGCGTATAAAATTTTGAGTCTTTTGCACACTAAACATTAACATACGCATGTTTTCAAGGTGTTATAAACATCTTAATGGCAATTTAGTATTTCACTGACTTAAAACTGTAATTAGCTTAGCCATTTTTCTATTATCAGGCATTTGGTCTCCCCCCTTTTTTGCTGTTACAATAAACATCTCTAAGGATAATGTTTGCAGTATTATTTTCTTAGGTTAGATTATCAAATGAGGGATGGATCAAAGATTGTGAACATTATAAAATCAAATATTGATACATTTAAGAGCTAAAATTTTACATATAAATCTCTGGCTCTATGCCCCTTTTTTCCATTATCTTTTTCTATTTTGAGACCAAAAATATCTTAATTTTCCCTTCACTTCTCTACCCCATGAGTGTAGAGTTTTTCTCCAGATTAAAATAGTAGCAGAAATATGTAATTTTAAAATTACTCTAAAGTAATGATCCAGCATATACATATCAGACACTGCCTGGCAGAGTTACAACTAGCTGAGAACACAGACCCTGACTAGGGTCCAGATAAATTCAGCTGCAAAGCACATTTACAAAGCTAGCGTGTGAGATGGGGTGAGATGGGGAGGGGAGGAGAGAAGGAGAGTAGGAGAAAGGAGGGGAGGAGGGGAGATGGGGAAGAGAGGGCAGAAGGAGAAGGGCAGAAGGAGAGGGTAGAAGAAGGGGAGGGAGGGTGCAGGGTGAAGGAGAGGAGGGGAGGGTGAGGAAGGAGAAAAGGGAGGGTAGGGAAGAAGGGAGGAGGGAGGAGAGAGAGGGAGAAGGGGAGGGGAAGAAGAGAAAGAATAGGATAAACTGCCTATATTGTGGCCGCTGGGACAAAGAACTACGCTTACCTTGGCAGGCAGCCCTCCCTTGCCTTCCTCTGGACCAGCTTCCTCACTTAAAAAAGAAAAAAAAAGTTTATCAATATATAATTAATATTTATTGAGGCCGAACTATGCTAGGTTCTAGGGATGTAAGAGTAAATAAGACAATTCATTTCTCTTCGGTTTATATGTGGAGGCAGGGATAACCAGGAAATTTCAATACAAGAACCTAGAACTGGATAAGATAACAAGGATACCATGGACAGCACTCAATTATTTCAAGAGTGAAAAGCTTTCCCAGAAGAGAGAATATATAAGCCAAGATTCTGGGAACGAGTAGGAACTAGCTAAGGGAAAAGAGTGAGGTTTTCAGCAGGTAAAACACCATGTGCTGGAGCAAGAGAGCACAGAACATATGTGCAACTGTTAAATGGGTATCTTTATCCCCAAACTAGGAAACCAAGACAGAGAGAGGTTAAATAACTCTAGGTCAAACAATTAGCAAGTGGCAGAACTGGGACTTGGAGCCAGGTCTGACACCAAAGCATTTGCTCCTCACTGCCACACCACACTCTCTTTCCGACACCCACCCCTCCCCTAGAATCTGGCTTTGTAATCGGTTCACAGGTAGACTGCAAGTAGGGCAGAATCTGCTCTAACCCGGGATGAGATATTTTCAATTACTCTTCGATAAGCTAAGTGACCAGCAGACATCCTCTTTGCCATGCATACTTGTATTCTGGATCCTTAAGCAAGATTTCAACTAGCTATAGATTTTTCTTTTGGAGAAACACAAGGTAGAAATGGCAAATGGAAGGCACTACATTCATGGAAATAAATCAATGCTTGGTATTTGTGATTTAGTACCACATTGTAATACTTTATGAAGTGTTTATAAATTATAAAAATAAGGAAAAATACTCTCTTAGAAGCACCAAATGACGCTACAAAAGTGTCAGGATTTCATATTAGCTGTCTTTGTTGCTGGCTTCGGTGAGAGTATAATGATTTACAGAGACTCCTTAAGAACTAAAACCAATCGAATTCTTGGTAGCCAAAGTAGGTGGGTGGACTTGTGCTGAAGTCCTGTTTATTTAAGTAAGAAGGAGATAGTGTTGAGAGAACCTATTCTGGTCAAAGACTGATTAACACATACTCATTGACTCCAAAGAAACAACTTGACATAGCACATTAAATGCTCTGCAAAGTTTACATTGTTAGCTGTCCATTTATTTCGCTGAGTACATATGAACATAAATGACTGCCCCACTTTGGAGGCGATTCCATTCTATAAAAAAGCCTTGGAGAGACATAGTAATGTTCCTGAGTAATATGCACAATCCTTATTTGGATGATTTCTGTCATTCAGGGCCCTTTATGGAATAGTACAGTTTGGCTTTCTATTCTTTAGCAGCTCTGAAAGCAATGCTTTTTTGCTTCAGCCAATCTTCCATCACCCACAGAGAAGTTCAAATCCTTGCTCTATAGCTTTCATCACTAGTCACACAAGACTCAAAGCAGCAACGTACTCTTTGAAGTTTGAGCTACACGTTCCCCAACTGCCAGCCTCATATTAACCAGAGGGGACCCCTTGAATGCAATTCCATAGCCCACTCAACTTCCTAATAGAAGCCAGAGATCTATTGCTTATTCTGTCTTATCCTTTTATAGAGAAAGCATCTACAGTACATATCAGAATGGAAAGATGTTGGAATCTCTGTGATAAAGCAGGTAAAACCAGCATTGATATCTAGGAAGGGGAGAATATGTAAGCATATACATTTCATTCAAATAGAGTTCTCGTTCCTAATCTTACTTTAACACTCACTTCTTACTACTTGACTGTAGTAGGGTCAGTTCTCAAAAGTCATAAGTAATAGAGCACTTACAGATCTCCTCTTATTTTCCTCTTGCCACCAGATTGAAGAAATAATTTTTTATAGGACTCTGGAGTGAAGGGATTAATATTGACCAGAGCCAATGAGGTCATCTCATCCTTGAGGGGAGCAGGTGTGAGCTTCAAATGCTTAGGGCCTCTGGAAGGAAGCTTCCCTGTTGGAGAAATCACCAACCGGCTCAGCATGGTCTGAATGAGGATGACAAAAGGCAAGTCATAATAGCATTAGTAAAGACATTCCTTATCAGTTAGCTAGTTAATATTTGAATCTAAGAATGCTTTTGCTGAAGGGGCCTTAGAAATTATCTGGTTCCATGTGAACTGGTTGCATTGTAACTGCTCCTCTTATGAAAACTATAGAATCCCAGTCTCTACCTCTAGATATTCTGATTCATGAAGTCAACACAGGAATCTGTACTTTAGTCAAGCTCCAACCCCTTCCCCTGGGCAATTCTGTTAGCTAGCTATGAAAACCAGTTGTAGTCCTATCTCCAGTTTTTAAAGACATGGACATTAAGTTTAGACAAATAAAAATGACTATATTCTCAGAGCTTATGCTTTAACTTCCCCTCAATTATTCATCCAAATATTTGTTTGGTGCCTACTATGTAGCAGATGCTGGGTTAGATGCCAAGTGGTACAGAAGTGAATTCTAAATCTTAAGGAATATATAGTTCATTATTCAGCAGTTCATCAGTGTTTCAGAAATAATCACCTTGTAAGGAAAAGATTTCATAGACTATTTAAACATGAAAAAAGTTTTTAATTTCACTTAAAATAAAGCACTAACTGAGAAGTGCTTCATGAAGTGCGGTAATGAGATTGAAAATTAGTACTCTAAGCCCTTAAGATTCAGATCTTTGCAGTGGCTACAACCAGCTACCAACAAATAGGTCAATGTGCAGGACTTACCACTCCAAGTGGCATACAAGAAGAGAACATCAGCCTAAACCTAACCAGAATGAAACCAAAGGGCGAAGGGAAAAGCCAAAGAATTCCAAGGCAGAATGCTGACCTGATGTCAGGGGCCAGAGGAGTAGCTGTGTTATGGATCTTCAGGAGTATGGCAGCACACACAGGGGCCACAGTATAAGCATTGCACTGTGAGGCTCTTTCTAAAAGACTTCTACAGTTCTGATCATCTCTGCCCATGATATTTTAGTGTAGAAGCAGAAGCCAGATTGCGTGATTCATTAAAGAATGTGAGGCTACCAAAAATGAATATTGGATCTATTGTAAATACTAAATAAATGATTGAATAAGCAGGAATGAAGGAAGCTATAGAATTTACATAGTAACCTAGCCTTTTTTTTAAGTGAAGAAAAATGACGTCATTGCCAGAGTCAAGTGTTTCTCCTATCTTGGAGTTCATAGGGCTGCTTGAAGAATCCAGGAGGCAGACAAGCCCTCGCTGACAGACTCACAGCTTTCCTGCGTGTTTATCATGAAGACTGAGGATTGGTTCAAAATAAGTGAAACTATAATGATATTTCTCAGTTATCAATGTGATTTGCAAAATGAACCTAGCATTTTGTAGTAAGTCATTCTGAGAATTCGTTTTTTGTAATGCTGATTATCATATGGAAAGTAAAACACATCTATTACATATGAAACAGTGGGTAGCCACACCTGGAATGCAGCACATAGTTCTAGTTGTCACATCTCAAAGAAAGTATAAGGGGCCTAGAAAATATTCAGATAAAAATTATTCATATCAGGGAAGACAATATTAGAATTTCTAGTCAGGAAATATGAGGGCCAAGAGAATTTGTGAGCACCACTTATGATGTAGGGAAGAATATTATGTTAATATAGTCGTTATTGCTGGAATAATAGAATTATGAGTAACCCTTTCAAAATCTCAAATAACATAGTTTGAGATAAGACATATGAAAAGAACTTCTGCTTGGAAGCAGAGGAATTTGAAAATTTATTGAAAGATGACACAGGTTGAGAGTATAAATGTGCTCTAGAGAGGGCAAATAATTCCATAAGGAATAGCTGTAGCACAGATGATTGAGGGAGATAAGGGAAATTTGGGGGATAGCTACTTGACTTATGAAGATGGTGAGAAGAGAAGGCAACCTCTCACAAAAACACAAACATAGTATCTTGGGACAGAGAAGGATTTTAAAGGCCCAGTCAACATGATTAGTCCCTTGATGCTTGAATCCTGATATTATTGGGATGTTTGGATGTTTTAAAGGCCCAGTCAATATGATGAGTCCCCTGATGCTTGAATCCTGGTATTATTGGGATGTTTGGATGTTTTAAAGGCCCAGTCAATATGATGAGTCCCCTGATGCTTGAATCCTGGTATCATTTGGATATCATGTTGAAATATAATCCCCAGTGCTGGAGGTAGGGCCTGGTGGGTGGCATTTGGATTACAGAGGTAGATTCCTTGGTGCCATCCTCATGGTAATGAACCAGTTCTCACTTTGTTAGTTCACACCAGATCTGGTTGTTTAAAATGAGCCTGACACTTCCTTCCTGTCTTGCTTCCACTGTCTCACTTTTTCTCTCACCATGTAACAAGCTGCCTTGTTTCTGTCCACCTTCTGCCATGACTGTCAACTTCCTGAGGCCCTCACCAGAAGCAGATACAGGCAATATGCTTACTGTACAGCCTGCAGAACTGTAAGCCAAATAAACCTCTTTTCTTTATAATTTACCCAGTCTCAGGTATTCCTTTGTAGCAAGGCAAACAGACTAACAAATCCCTTCTGCAGTATTTCTACCAAGTGGTCGGTCATCAATGAGTGTTCTATGCTTTTAGCCACAGGGAGCTTACACCTCCTAAGCATGCTCTTCTATCTCTAGATGATTCTGTCAGGAAGTCCTTACAGTGAACTGAATTTCACATGATTTTTGGTTCCATCCCTTGGACAAGACTGACTAAGCCAATCCTCCTTTCCCATGCAGCTTTGTCTTCTGCATAACAATGATCAGCCATCAAGCCTCTTTCCTCTAACGCAAACTGTGTTTTCATAAAGTATGTACTTTCCCAGTTGCATTTCAGTTTTGCTCCCAAGCCCTGTTCTCTGCCTCTCCCTTAAATGCATTATCCAAGATTTCTAACTGGGCCACTTCTCTCCTTACTCTGGCACTCAGGCTATGTGACCTTATCTCCACCCATGGCCTCAACTACTTCCTAAATGCTGTAGATATCCAAATACGGATTTCCAATTTTCATTGTTTTCTTGTGCCCCATACCCAGTTATCCAACTTTTTATACCACATCTCTGCTTTTCTCCAAACCCATATATCCCTTAGTGTCATCTATCTTGATTCTGTCTACTGAACCAAGCAAGAAACCTCAGTCATCAGATTGTTTTCGTTTTCCCTCGACCTCTCCATCAAGTCATCTCTGAATTTTTCACTGTCCTAGTCCAGGCTCTTCTTTGTTCAACAGGGCTATTCTGAATACTGCTCTACCTCCAGGCTCTCTCATGCTCCATCCCACAATACATACAAAGGTCATGATTTTTCCAAAAAAATCCCTCTACTCAAAACCATGGTAATGGCTCTCTCAACACTCTCAGGATTAAAATCTTGATCTAGCTTCTGCCCACCTACACTGGCCTCATCTCTTGCACTCTCTCACACACAGGCCCGTCACACTGAATAACATGCTGTTTTCCAAGTGTAGCAGCTCCTTCCCCTCCATAACTTGGTGGATGCTTTTCCCTTTGCCTAGAATTCCTATTCCCCTCTTTGCCTGGCTAACTCCAAATATCCTTTAAGACATCTCTCAAACATTACTTTCTTTGGAAAGTCTTCCCTGATAGAGATGTAATTCCTAATTCCTTCTCATCATGCTCAACCATTCCTCTAGTACACGTTTTGAACTTTATTGTTTCATTTGTTTAATCTTTATTCATTTTGTGGGCTCTTTTTGAAGGCAGTGAATGGGTTTTGCCAGCAGAGGGTCTGCTAACACATCAAGGTGTTCAGTTAAGCTGTGAATGATCAAATGAATGTCATGTTTTCTTCTCTGTGTACTCTTACTCAAAGCCACATTCTCTCAGCCCATTCTCCCCCATATATCAAAACTGGACCAACTTTCATTGCCCTTCCTATACCTTTCTTTCTTTCCTGATCACCACACTGAGAATCTGTCCAGCGGGTTCTGACCACACTTATCACATAGTGCCTTTTGGCATAACTACTCTCTCTCTGCTAGACTGTAAGCTCTTTGAGGGCAGAGACTGTATTATATGCTCCTTACCTATAGGGAATTCTCAAAGAATAAATGGGTGATTAATTGGCTGGTGCTGTGACCACTGAAAAACCCAGAGATAGACATCGGAGCATATTAGTTTTTCTACAATTCAAACAAGCAGCTTAGAATTTCCTGGTATACATGGTACCCACACCCAGCAGGTACTAAAGAGACCTGCTGATAGCAACTGTGTCGCAGTCAGGATCACAGATGTTATTATGATGATCTTAAGTGCCTCAGGCTGAACCAGCAGGAAGCCGAGCTAATACCAATCCTAGGACTCACACACCATGGCACCAGAGTTGATTAGAGGCAACCCTGCCCCAACTATGGCTTTAATAACATGAACGATGCAACAGGACACCAATCACAACAAGAATAAAGGAATATGCTACTAGGGACTCTTGCTTATTTGCCATCCTCAGCTTATGAAGAAGTATCAACAAGTTTCCTCTTTGCTGACATATACTAGAAGAACCTGGAGGTTCTTCTATTAGACCAAGGAGGGGAGAGGAGTTGTTTCTGGGAGGAGCAGCAGCAAAGAGATATGACTATGTTCAAACAGTGAGTGTGGACGTTCTTATATTAGAAAGTATTAGTAAATAATCACACAAAAATAGAGCCAGTTGGCGTAATGGAAAGAACAATAGACTAGGCCAAAAAGATCAGGTTTCTAGTCCTGTCTGTAACATTGGCTGAGCTGTGAGACAGTTTCTGTCTTGGGCCCTTCATTTTCTCATATGTAAACTGCACAGCTGGAGCTCTAAATCTCAATATTCCTTCCAGTTCCAATATTCTTTAACTAGGGACTTTTTTCTACCCAAGATTTGTTTGTGGCCAATAGCCAACAGTTACTGGCACCAGTGGTTTTGAGAAGACAACTGGCAAACCATTTAATTCTGTCCATTTTCTGGTAATTTTAATTTCTTCATTTTCATCAATAAATGTGTAATTGAGGATATACACAGCCTGGAGGTGACTGTCATACACACATGAATCCACTCTATCAGCTAAACTACAGGAAAGCAGAGCTTGGCGACCTGCGTCCCTTTTTCCCCCACCCCTTACTTACTTTGGGAGTAGAGGGGCTGTCACTGGGCAGCAGCTTGCTCCTGCTGTCTGGTTGGGCTGGTGTCTCAGGACATTTGAGAGGGTGTGACACTGGAGTCCTCAAAATCTGATCTGGACTTTCTTTGTCTTTTTCCGAAGATGTGTCGAGCTCATGCACGTTGCTAAGGGGAGTCCAAGGTGGTGTACCCTTTGCCTCTGAATCCTGCACTTCACCCTTCTCTGGGGTTTGGCTCGAAGCCTCCCTGCTTTCTTCTACTTTCTTCTGCCCTTCAATCTCAGTCTCCTCACAATAGGAAAAGTTTAATTTCTGCCTTAGTTCTTTGTCAATATCTTTGTCATCCATCTCAGCCAAAGAGCTTTACAACACAGACAAAAAGCTCTATCAGAAGGGAACGCTGTGAACCTACAGAAGCAGGGAGGAGAAAATAACTTAACCTGCAGGTTTCGCGACGGTAGCCTGAATTTCCCTCTACCAACTAACAGCTACAAAACACGGTGTTAATTTTCTGCCTTAAGTACCACCAATCTATAAGACCTCAGCTTATCCTGATTTCCATTCTGATTAAAGAAAGCTCCAGTGACTCTCGGAGCAATTAAATGCAGTTCATGTACAGAACTCTTCTGGATATGACACATAGTCTCCCATGTGTTACCAAATACTAGTGAGAAAATTGAATTCCTTTAATTTAGCATGGCTTTAAAAATACCCATTAGCCAATTTGGGAATAAGCTAATATTGAAAAGAAATTATTTTCACTCCTTACACCTGCCATTTATAAATATCACCCTCTCCTCCCTTCTCCTCCCCACCCACCCAATAGCTAACAGCAGGTAATTACAATTTAGCATCACCTGGCTATCATAATGATCCTTAAACAGCCTCTAACATATCTTGACTGGAGTTTGTATCCCTGACAGAGACACAGCTTAGCTCTGTGCCAAACACACCTGCCCTAATTCAGGCATCTCCCTCCTGCAGCTGTTAGCTGTTAGCAGTTAAAGCTTCTAGGGAATTGAACAAAAATTTAAACTGACAAAAGAAAGGCTAGAAAGATCAACAAACCATAGAAACAGATATTGATCACTGGAAAACAGCAATGGCTTCTGCCAAAAATGCCTTATATTGTAAAATGCTTTTTAATATCTTTAGTACACATTATTTAATTTCTTTCTCAGAGAAGCCCCTATGAGAAGGATGGAAAACTCTTTGAAGAAAAAAACAACTATTATACAATCAAGCTGTCCCTCTTCTCTTCCAGTTATATAGCCAAAGGAAATAAAATCACTATCTCAAAAAAATACCAACACACCCATATTCATTGCAGCATTATCCTCAACAGCCAAGATATGGAAACCACCTAAATAGCCATGGACAGATGAATAAAGAAAATGTGGTGAATACACACACACACACACACACACACACACACACACACACAATAGAATATTACTCAGTCATAAAAAAGGAAAGGCTGCCATTTGTGATAACATGGATGAACCAGGGGGATATTAAGTGAAATAAGCCAGGCACAGAAAGACAGATACTACATGATCTTACTTATATGTGGAATCAAAAACAGTTGATCTCCTAGAGGGAGGGAGTAGAATGGTGGTTACCAGGATCTGGAAAGGCAGGGGAAATGGGGAGATGCTGATCAAAGGGTACACACTTTCAGGTATAAGATGAACAATTCTGGGGACCTGATGTACAGCATGGGTGCATATGGGTGTGGTAAATTTTTGGTAATCATTACACAATGTATAGGTATATCAAAGGAAAAAGGCCTCACTGATATCACATTATAGAAGAAAACTATGTGAGAGGCAGTCCATGAAAAAGGAAAATGATACACTCATGCCCCTCAAGGAGGCTTCAGAGGGACTGCAAATAGGGAATTATTTACATGATAAACATGGGCCCAAAGAGAGACAGGAACCAAGGCCAGCTTGATGAGTTTGAAACAAATGTTATTTCCCTTCTCTTTATAGTCTTTGCTACCTGTCACCCCTCTTCCATTTCCCTCTTTTCACAGATCTCTCCACCACTTTCTCCTAATTCCTTCCCCATTCCCAGCCAGAACTCCTGAGGAGGGTAATCCAAATGAAAACTAACTGGGGAGACTTCAAAGTGTTTTTTCAGCTCAAAGCCTTCTCATGCTCCAGCCCTTTGTAGGTGGGCACACCAATTCATCCTTCCTTGGCCCTTCCCTACAGCCTCCCACCCACACAAACTATCCCAGATAATTCAACAGGGGGTAAAATATTGCTCACAAAATGCAGTAACTCACTGCCCACCTTTGTCAGAGATTCAGTATCCTACAGGGGCCAGTAAAAACAGAATCATCAAAGAAAAAGGAGAACTCATAGGTTACCAGTAATGCAATTATTATCAACTGGGATTCTCAGCCTAGGAGTGTCTTGTTTACAAATCAGCAAGCCAGATGATAGATTTCTTTTCTATAGCCTTGGTGTTGATGAATTTCCCCTCACATGCCATGGCTTGTCATTCCTGCCTCTCCAGGCAGCTAGAGGCTGGCTTTGCTCTCAGTAAAACAGGACTGACTCAAAACACTGGCTATATTATTGTCCTGTAGACAGGGCACAGGGGCTGGTTTATTAGGTATTACCCAAGTAGACCAGGTTTTCTTTTTTTTTTTCTATCACCTGCTGCTTTTTCTCTCTCCCTTGCTATAATTCTTGATTACCCTTATTTATGACTACATTGTTTGCCTAGGGAGGCAGCTATGCCATTGCAATGGTTGAGGTCTTATGTTATCGGCAGTAATACTGTTAGAAACTTGCACCATTCACCTTTTCATGTATTGTTACTCAGAAGATAATGATTGTGGCTAAGTCTTCAGAATAAGAAAGGTGTAACAATGAGTACAAAAAAGATATCCCAAATTTGGACAACTAAATAATAAGAATTGCATAGTTGCTGATCTGGATGACCCAAGGGAATCCCTAGAGGTGCTACCTATGGCCTCTGGCCCATGGCCTCACTATTTTTTTGGTCACATTGTAGCCTTTTCTTCATTTTTAGCCTCTTTCCATTATGAAAAATTTCATCTCTGCTTCAGTATATGTTAATCCCACAGGCATCCATCCCAGCATAAAGCTTCAGGTGATAGTTGAGATGATGTGTCAAAAGGGGGACCCATGTAATCTGTGGCAATAAGAGGAAAAGGGGAGGGTTTCCCCCTTAATGCCTAACATATAGTAGGTGTTCAATAAATTGTTTTTGGATGAATTTGGGGAAATAAATTAATATATTTCAATCATGTTTAAAATACTCCATATTTGACTTTTTAAAAAAAATTTGAATTTTTTTCTTAATGTGTCAGGAGTTGCTGCACAGGGGGAAAGCGAAGTTCCCAGGAGTAAGATGTGCAAGAAGCGGGCAGCCTTGCATCTCAGGGCTGAGTTCCCTCAACTGTGTGCTTGAGGGAAGTTCTCCCCTTGCAGACACACTGCTGAGTGATAAGGAAGCACCTAGACTCCACTCTGACCAGACTTGGTTCTGAGGCCTATGAAATGTTGATGGGAAGAACAGAAGCAGGAAAATCTATCTATTCAAATTTGCAAGACGTGGAAACTTTTATTCACCTTCCTGGTTAGACTGTTCCTTTGTCAAAGTAAAGCTAAGGCCATGGAAAATGAGCTATTTGAGAGTTTGTCGCTCCAAGGAAGAACATGCTGGCCTAATTGTCCCCCAAGTCAGGAGAGAGAATTGTAAAAAACACTTAAACAGGCCTAAGTAAAGGTCCAGCACATTATTTATTTAAGACTGAATTAGAACTGAGTCATTCCGACTCTGAAAAAAGAGTGTTGTTGGATTCTTATGTATTTAATGGGTCTGCCCTATTGAAAACCATTGTGAAGTATGGTTTCCCAAGCAAGAAATGACACTTTCACTGTCAGTCTTTCTAGGAGTCTGGCAGAATCCAGGACCGGGATTACCCTTATTTATGAAGCGACCTTAGACTAACAGTGGCTCTCTGGGTCTCCAGACAATTGGCCAGGGACTCTAAAAACCAGAAACAAAGTTGAGAGAACTCCATGCTGGTGGAGAAAAACAGCTGGCCTTTATCACCAGAATGTGCCCCATAGAAGCAGCAAAGCAGCAAGCGACGTTCTTAAACAAGGGCCTGTGGGCCTCGTCAAGATCTGGAGGAATCATCTACGACTCACTGCTGAGTGAGAGGGCTAGGCAGTGTCTTTAAGGTCCTGCCAGCTTTAACATTGTATGCTTTTTCTTTTGTTCAATCTCTCACCACAACTGGAAGTGTTGCCTCAACTACACAGGAGAAAGTTTGCAGTAACTTAGAGAAAACATTATTTTAATCACCAGTGTATGTTCTCCTGCTCCCTGGACAAATCCATCAGCAGCGGCAACACTGACCAGGTCCAGATTGGGGCCGCTGCGGTGGATGTGAATCCATTGAAACTAGGGGTCTCCAGTGCTCCTGACTCCTCACAGCTCTGTTCCTATGACAAGGATGGTCAGCAAAGCCAGCAACCTTGAAGGGGGACCTTCTTCTAATCTCCTCCCTGCCTGCTGAGAGAGTGTACAGAAGCAGCCACTTGTCAGCTGCGATGAATCCAATGATAATTACATAAATCATTAACAATACTTGATATTTGCCCATCACATTTCTCATTTCAAAGTGCTCATAAAATTGTATCTCATGGGTGGCACTGCCGGCACAACAGAATTCCAAGGAAGGATTACGGGCTAAGTAAATAAAGCCTGGAGGCTGCTTTAAAGCCTAGGAGTCTGTTATTAACCCTTTCCTCCTTTTTGTTTAACTTTTTCTCATGGAAATGTTCAAACATACCAAAAATAGAGAAAATACTATAATGAGTCCTTATGTATCCATAACCTAGCTTCAAAAATTATGTATGGCTTTACAGTCTTGTTTAGTTCATAACTGCAACTTCATTGAGGGTGAGTGCTGGGGTATTGTGAAGCAAATCAGTGACAACATATTTTACCCATGGATACTTTAGTGCCATTAATAAAAACCCCTAGGTTATTCTATTAATTTGAAATCTACTATAAATCTATCTGATGAATAAATCAAACAGATTTTAACAAATTGCTTCTCTTGCCAAAGTTTCCCATTTGCTAGAACTAGAGATTATTCATCAAAATAGCTGTGACAGTAGAAACATACCACTTGTCTACACACACAACACATAGCATACTTAGAATAGGAATAGATCTCTGATTTGATGTCCCAGTAATTTAGAGATTGATGATATCCTACCGATACTTTAAGGAGCAGACATTTTAAAACGATGGTACAGACCCACTAGTCTGACCTTTTCTCTGTTAGTCACAGTTGGGCTGTGGTCATTCCCGGAGTCCCTAAGATTAGAACAGGTAATGGGTCACCTGTGTGACCTGCACCAAGGCCAGCCCCACCGCCCCCGGCCACAGAAATAAGATCTCTCTCTCTCTCTGTCTGTCTCTGTGTGTGTATGTATGTGTGTATGTCTGTTTCTGCCTCTCCCACATCACATACATACATACACACACACACACACACACACACACACACACACACACACAGTGCCTCACTGGGAAGAAATGAGCAGGTATGGAGGAGACATTCTCAGAGATGGATCTCTACTGTGCTCCGTCTTGACTTATTTGCTGTCAGTGCTCCAAGGGATGAGCTCTGGAGGTCATCAGTAACTTGGTCAAACATCCACAGCTACTTCTTCATCCTTCTGATCCAATCAAGAGATTCCTATGCTGAAGTTTTACCTTCATAAAACATTTTGTGATTTTTTTGAAATGTGGTAAAGAAGAATTTAAGCTCTTCCGCAGTAGGTAACTACTAGAAACTGAAGATAAACTGTCAAAAGTGGCTGTTTCTAAGGATGGAGAAAGGGATGGCGGGGTTAGAGGAGGTGGTTGCTGCACAGTGTGTCTTGCGTGCAATTTGATCATTTAACTTTTTGCCATAAACACATACTTATTAAAATGTTTAAAATAAACTTTTTAAATGTAATCAAGCAAACACAGAAATGCACATATTTTTTTAAACTGGCGAATAAAGTGCTTGAATCTTTTTGCTCCCTCATCTTCATTTCCTGACCTCTAAACTCTGGAGGCCTCTGGGCTCAGTTCCCCCAAATTTTCCTCTTCTCTGTATGCACTCTCTGTCTTGGAATATCAGTCAGCCCACAGCTTGAAACACCAACAGTAAGCTGGTAGCCTCTGAATTTACATCCAAGTCACAGAACTTTAACTTACACTTCAGATTTGCAACTGCCTTATCAAATTGCCTCTGGATGTCTAACAAGGCTTCAGTCTTAACATGTCCAAAACTTCCCCATCACATCACTCCTCCTGTGATGTTTACTATGTCAGGAAATGGAAACAAGTGAGTACTCCTCTCTTTCTCTGCAACCCCACATCAAATCCATAAGAGATCCTTTCAGTCCTATCCTGCCTCTGAAGGCAACAGCCTCCTCTTCATGGGCATCTCCTGCTCTTCCCCTTGCCTTGTTGCTTTCTATTCCACACCTAGTAACCAGTGGGATCCTTTTAAAAAGTAAGCCAAGGCCAGGTGCGGTGGCTCATACCTGTAATCCCAGCACTTCGTGAGGCTGAGGCAGGCAGATCACTTGAGGTCAGGAGTTTGAGACCAGCCTGGCCAATATGGTGAAACCCTGTCTCTACTAAAAATACAAAAATTAGCTGGGCATGGTGGTGGGAACCTGCAATCCCAGCTACTGGGGAGGCTGAGGCACGAAAATCACTTGAACCCGGGAGGCAGAGGTTGCAATGAGCTGAGGTGGCGGCACTGCACTCCAGCCCGATAGCGTGAGACTCCATCTCAAAAATAATAATTGTTATTATTATTAAATAAATAAATAATAAAAATAAAAAGTAAGTCAGATGCTGACATTCCTGGACTCAAATCCTCCAGTGCCTCCCAATTCACTCAGAAGACAGAGCCAGCCCCCACACCAAGGCCCATGGGCCACATGGTCCATCTCCAGCCTGTCTGACTCCTGCCGTCTTCCCCATCCGGCATTCTGCTCTAGTCTTCTCACTATTCCTTCAGATGCCAAAATCTTTTGTGCCCCAGAACCTTTGCTCCTGCTGGCATGCCCTTTCTCCACATCTCACTCGCCCCATCCCTTCCTGCAGGTGTGTGCTCAAAGGTCACTTGTCCGAGAGGTCTTCCTTGATAACCCTGAAGAGTACCCACACTCATTCACTGGCCCCTTGCCTTGTGTCACGTCCCTTCACAGCAGGAATCCTTAAATCATGCATTATATATTTAATGGTTCATTTTTAATATTGTCTGTCTCCCTCACCCCGCCCCCAATAGAATCTAAATTCCATGAGGAGAGGGGCTTAACTCTTATTCGATGCTCTATTTCCATTACTTGGATCAAGTCTTGGCACACGGTAGACTCAATAAATATGTCCAGAGTGAATCAAGTATGTTAAATATTCTATCTATCCCCATGATGTACACCACTGCAGAATGGATAGCTTTTATGAGGTTTCAAACTTAATTTTCAGCCCCAATACAAATTTAAAAGGACTAAAAGGGAGGGATGTGCTGATTTTAAATAATGTATTAATTTTTAAAATCTGCGTCATTCTATGAATCTCTATACCATTTCTGGCACAACTTGAATATAACCTCTGCGGGATATGATTTACTGTGCTTTAAACTTGGGCCACACCAACAAGCACCTGTAGCACAGATGACTTGGGAAGGAAATACTAGTGCAGACAGGGCTGATACTACAACTAGTGTGGTCTAATGTATAAAGTGGATGTTAGGAAATAGGGAGACTGGAGCGGATGCACCCAGGATGTCCCTGTAGGCACTGGGCTTTGGGTCCTCTCAGAATCTTGACTGCGGAACTTCAATTCACAGGACAGATAAGGGTATAGATATTCCTTAGACCACTACAAAGATTATTTTCTTCATCTTGTCCATTCTTAATTTCATCCCTGCAACACCTCGGCTTGTCTCACAGTTTGGATTCTTGTCTGGATCACCAGTATTTGTCTTGGTCAACTAATTATGCATATTAATTATGAATGCAGAGCTACCTATTCCTTATCTCTATGGAACACTGTTCCTGCAAGATAGAATGAAATGACTCAATGATAGAAAGATGCTGTTTCTTCTTTCTTTATATACAGTAAATATATATTTCTCATGCAATTTGAATGAAAACTCTCACTTTTTTGAGAAATTAGATAAAATGATTTTAAAGTTCACATGGAAAAATAATAGTCAAAGAATAGGTGAATAATTTTTTTAAAAGACAGTAAAGGAACAAGACTACTTGTCGTGGAAATAAAAGTTTAAAATATATGTATAATAATTAGTGTGGTACTAGTGTAAGAACAGACGGGTCAGCGGTGAGTGATACATACAGAAATTTACTATTGTACTTAAAGGAGAATTACAAGTCATAGGAAGTGAAATAACTATTCAATAAGTCATGCAGGAATTATTGATTAACTGTTCAACGCAAAATTTTTAGTCTCACTTCTTACCACATATCAATATAGGCATTGAATAGATTAAGAAATTAAATGTAGGAAATCAATTTATAAATAACCAAAAAAAAAAAAAAAAGTGAGCTAGGCACGGTGGCTCACACCTGTAATCCCAGCACTTTGGGAGGCTGAGGCAGGCAGATCACTGGAGGTCAGGAGTTCGAGACCAGCCTGGCCAGCATGGCAAAACCCCATCTCTATTAAAAATACATCAATTAGCTGGACATGGTGGCATACACCTGTAATCCCAGCTGCTAGGGAGGCTAAGGCAGGAGAATCACTTGAACCTGGGATGCGGAGGTTGCAGTGAGTCGAGATCGTGCCAGTGCACCCCAGCCTGGGCAACAGAGCAAGACTCCGTCTCAAAAAAATAAAAATGAAGTGAATGTTGATCAAATTTTTGTGGGGGACCAACTTTCTAAATGTCAAAGCAACATAAAAAGTCACAAGAAAACTGATTCTGTAGCAAATAAATGGCACTGGAAACATACAACACTTTATATTAACAATTAAATAATATTAAGTATTATGGCAGACAAAAGATTAATATTCTTTTGCATAAAGAACTCATACAAATTGGTAATGAGTATTGGGCATCACAGACAGATGGTGCAAATGAGCAAAGGACAAAGCGAGCAAAGGGCATGATGGACAGACGGTGTGCTGAAGAGGAACCACAATTCGCCAATATGTAGTTTGAAAACATTATTAGAGATTTAATTACAAAACAGAAACAGAAACAAAATGTTATTTTCATCTGACAAATTGGCAAAAAGAATTTTAAGTGGCAATACCTCATTTAGACAAGGGTGAAATGAAATTGATTCTCATATACACTGGTGAATCAACAATTTGGCAGCACAATCAACAGAACCTTAAAATTGTGAACGCACTTTAACCCAGCATTGCCACCTTTAGCAAGCTATCCCATAAGCCAGCCACCTGAATGGCAGATCACATTTGCCCTACCTGTCACCCCTCATTCTATATTTCATTTCTTGCCTTGAAGCTGTCTTCCCTGCCTGGCTGTGAGCCTGATGAGAAGGAGCGTCTGTTTTCTTCCCAGCTGTCCCAGTGCTATGCGCAGGGCTTAGTATCACAGGGCTTAGTAAGAAAGATATTTGGTCAAAACTTTAGGCACAACAAAAAGGGAGGGTCTTGACTATCTAGCAATGAAAGATGGCTAAGTAAATTATCAAACACACATACAATGGAAAACATACATAAGAATGATGCCGGACACTCCATCTCAAAAAAAAAGGATGCATATAAAAAGTTTCTAAATCGGATCTCAAAATGTTCATATTCTGATGTTAAGGGTAAAAAGAACACAAAATGGATATAGAACATAAATTCAACATGTAAACATAAATATATCTATTTTAAGATATACAGTCCTTCCTTGATATCTGTGGGGACTGGTTCCAGGACTCCCATGGATACTAAAATCCATGGATGCTCAAGGCCTTGATATAAAATGGCATAGTATTTACATGTAACCTAGGCACATCATCCTATATACTTTAAATAATCTCTAGACTACTTACAATACCTAATACAATGTAAACAGTCATTCTACTGTATTATTTAAGGAATAATGACAAGAAAAAGTCTGCGTATGTTCAGTGCAGATGCAACCTTCCTAGGCCTAACTACATAGTACCTGTCAGCAACAAGGTAACATTACCACCGATGATGAACCTGTGAAGGTGGAGGGCCCACTGTTCTATTATATTTATGTGCCTTCAGATTAAAAAAATGAGAAGTCTAATAGGGGTACCATGAATAAACTTGGCAAGTAAACCTCCCACACGGAGAGATTTGACAAGCAAGAAAACATGCTTGTCTCAACTGGGTCACTAGGTGAAAGGAGAAAAAAGTCTTGTCCAAGAATGTGAACTACAAGTCAGTATTGAAGCTAGGTTGCGTGGTTGAATGAACCTCAGTGGAGAATTTATTCAAAGCAGTCTCAGGTTGGTGGTGCCTCCAGATGGCTGACAAAAGCAAGTCAAAATGTCCTCTGTGAGAACTAGACCTCAGCGGGGACCAGCAGCGATCATGAGTCACTATGGCAACATTAAAAACTAAAAATTTTTGCATCCTAGAATTGATGAAATAGGATCAGCAAAATCTTAACAGTGGCCAATTCAGTGGTGAGATTATAGATCAAAGGTATTTTTCTGTATTTGATATAACATAGACATATTTAGTATTTGGGAAAGTAAAATAAATTTTCAGTTTTACACATATAGTGTCCTAGGTGAAATCATTTTGAAATATTACATCAGACTAGGGTCCCTGAATAAGATTGCCCCTTCCTCTCTTCTTTTCGTCAACAGCAGAGCTGTTCTAATAGCTAAATTCAATTAGTTCCCTCCCTATCATCTTGTGAAATTCAGTCATCAAAGAGGAGATAACTCTGATGGTCAGGTATACTACCTCAATCAGACTGTGAATGCATGTGCTAAGAGGGATGTCATCACTGTCATTAACACTTTCCAACACCTACTATGTCCAAGATATTAGATAAAGTCTGACAAGAGGGCCCATTGCACAGAATTGTCTCTACTTTCATTCATATATTTAATTGACAAGTATTTTTGGGCACTTATTATGCACTAGGAATTTAAAGATAGACATTGTGGTTCATAAGCCAGGATATACACACAAATGAAGACTGGAGAAGGCCATAGCCTTAAGGTTTGGAAATTTTGCTTTTCTGTTTATATAAAAAACTGATTGGGAGGGGAATTATGAGCTTATTTCCTGGTATATACACAGCTTGAGGGTATTAAATCTAGGATGTGCTGGGGGGTGGGGGTGGTGGAAGGTGGCTATTCCTACAAAAGATCAGGACAAGGAAGTCCCTCCAGGGAGAAAGAGAAAGTCCATCAGCCCTAAAGCCAATGGCTTTGGAAATTGTTTATTCTCTACGAACCTCTACTTTATATTTAAAAATAAAATTTTGAATGCCTCAACCTGAAAAGCTTTGGCTATGGCCTGATCCTATGAAGTAGAGGGCTTTGGAATCCAGCTTGGAGTAGTTTGGATATAGCCTAGTCTGGTGTGCCTTTGAATGAGCCAGATAATGCCGTGGCCCTGGTGTTGGCTGGACCATGCCTGGGCCTCCCCATCTATTTCAGTGACTGTCTACATACTCCAGGGAGTGAGCGTTGAATGGTCACTTATTGCCCTTATAAACTTGCCCTTGTAAGGTAGAGGAAAGGCTGAACTAAATATGTAAATAATGAAAGTAGACCCTGTTCTTGGGGGTAAAATGCTGCATAAGTACATTCTTTATTGTTATATCATAGATTTTAGATTAGAAGTGGCAGCCTAGGGCAGTCATTGATTATCTTCTTAGGGATAGGGGTTAAATCACATTATCATTGCAGTGCTGACGTGTAGGACACGGAGGTTCATAAACATCCCGTGGAGTAGCACCCAGCACATAGCTCTACTGGGTCCTTTTGCGAACAGGCAAACCATGGAGCCTTGCTGAACCCTGGATGAACTGTGTACCTCCTTCTCTTGCCACCTCCTTCTTTCTATTTTAATAGCTATTCCTATTTTTATACACATCTCCTCTTAAAGAGTTACTTAGCTGCTAGATTTACCTCAAGGATTGAGGCATGTAAAATTTATTTTTAAATATAAAATGGGGGTTCACAGAAAACCCCTAATCCATTTCCAAAGCCATCAGCTTTAGAGCTGACTTTCCTCTTTCTCCCCTGAGCAACTTCCTTTTCCTGATCTTCTGAGGGAATATCCCTCGTCCCACAAATGCTCCAGCACCTCCTAATTTAATACCCTCAAGTTGTATATATACCAGGAAATAAACTCATAATCTCCATCCTAATCAGTTTGTAATATAAAAGGAAGAACAAAATTCCCAAACTTTAACCCTATGGCCTTTTCAGTGTTTATTGATGAGTATATTGCAAACACCTGGGTAGCCAGAGCGCCTCTGCTTCACTCCTCTGCTTAGAAGCAGCTTCTGCCACACATCCAGGATTATGTAATACATATCTGTCACGGTCCACAGGACCAGCGGACTTTAAAAAATAATGGTGACATAAAAACTCACAGTGGTAGCTATACCACGGAACCCTAGGTGAGAAGGCACCTCCACCCGCACACAGGTGTATGGACGCAAGGATGAACGTTCCGGCCGCACGCGTCCCACACACGGACGTGCACACGGGCGCCTCCGAATAGGCTCGCGGTTCCCGAAGCCGGCTCCGCGGACGCCTGCTCTGGCTCCGTGGGAAAGGCGCCTCCGCGGCGGGGCCCCGGGCAGCGCCAGACCCGGCGGGCGGCGGCGGCGTTGGCGCGGCCAGGCGAGGGGGGTTCCCGCAGCCCGCCCGCCCCGCCCCTCGCGCCCGCGGCTCCGCCTCGCCTAGCCATGGTGGAGCAGGGAGACGCGGCGCCGCTGCTGCGCTGGGCCGAGGGCCCCGCCGTCTCCCTGCCGCAGGCCCCGCAGCCGCAGGCGGGAGGCTGGGGCCGGGGCGGCGGCGGGGGCGCCCGGCCGGCCGCGGAGCCGCCCCGGAGGCGGGAGCCCGAGGAGCCGGCCGCCCCGGAGGTGCTGCTGCAGCCCGGGCGCCTGGAGCTGGGCGACGTGGAGGAGGACCAGGTGGTGGCCGTGTTCGTGGTCACCTTCGACCCCCGCTCGGGTGAGGGCCGCGCCGGGGCCAGGCGCGTGGGGAGGGTCGGGGTGCCCCCGAGCTTTGGGGGCGCGGGGGAGGGGCTCGCTGCGCGCGCACCTGCCCTCCCGGCCCCGCACCCCGCACCAGGGCCGGCCCCGGGCTCCCGGGCTTGGGGAAGGGCGGGGGTCGGCCAGTCCTCAGCTCTCTCCCTCGGGGCGCAGCTGGGTGCTGGCGCGCGGCCTCTCGGAGCGGCCCCGAGGGCTTTGTTCCAGCCCCGCCGACCTCCTCTCCCCTCCCCTCCTCTCCTCTGAGTCCCAGCCCCACAGTGGTGTTCGCACTTCAGTGACAGGGCATCCGGTTTGTGGCCACGTTGGGTTTTGTTTTCTTTTCTTGGGGGCTAGAAGATTTTTCACGTTGTGCGGAGGAAACCCCCCGGGCGAGCGCCCTGAGCTCCCCGCTCGCCCCCCATCCCGTCCCCCGCTCCCCGCTCGCCCCCCACCCCGTCCCCCGCTCCCCGCTCGCCCCCCACCCCGTCCCCCGCTCCCCGCTCGCCCTAGCTCCCGGTCGCTTCCTCTGGGGTAACTTTCCTAGCGGCCAAGTTCACTTTCTCTGACTGCATTATTTTGAGGAATTAACGCCGGGAGCATTAAGGGATGGGGCTGAGGGATTCAGCTGAAGGCTGATTAAAGGAGAAGCCTCCCCGGATAGGCTGTCTTTCGGAGATGCTTGGAGAATTAAAGTCTTATCCCACATAATCTTAGCCTAACCACCCGGCAGGGGGGTGTGCGTTTTCCAGGTGAGAGTCCACGGGGGACAGAAGGTGGAAGAACGACCCTGCGCGCCCAGGAAGCCTTGGAGGGTCAGCTAGGGACTTCTGACTCTGAGAGTGGCTCTGCTGTTCGGGGTTGGGGGAAGGAGGTGTCATCGCAGGAGTCGTGGTGTCAGGGCTTAAGGAAACGCAGGTGTGACTGTCAATGTCTCCAGGGCAGCTGCTGGAGTGTGGAGTGCCTGTTCGTGCGGGAAAATATTGGCTGCTTTCTGGGATGAGGTGGGATGGAGTGGAGAAAAAAAGGGGTTAGGATCTGGAGAAGGGGAATCCGGTATGGCAGCTGATGATGGGTTCCAGGCCGGTAATTTTGGGGTTCTCAGCTGTAGGACACAGGAAGAATGTGGGATTCACTGTGGAGCTCCATTTGCAGGGACAGAGTTTGTGGGGACAATTCAGGCCTTTGTGACTTCTGCTTGTTTCTTTGCCACATTCCATGGCTTTCAAACTCTTTTGACTGATCTATCATGTGAAGTTAATTTTACATCACAACCAATATGCTCACATACACGTACAGTACTTATGTAACTGAAATAGACATTTCATGAAGTAGTGCTGACTCCTTCTACATGTAATGCATTCTTTTTTCTCTCTCTTTTTTTTTTTTTGAGACAGTGTCTCACTCTGTCGCCTAGGCTGGAATGCAGTGGCTCTTTTCTCTTTTTTTTAAGTGTTCATCACACATGCTGGTTGACTCGCATTTGAGATTCCTAGATACCAGTAGTTTGAAAAGTATTGGTCTTTTTTGACCAAAGTTACCCGTAATGCTAGACAAAAACCAATACTTTGTAACTAATCATATTGCTTATACTGTACCCCATCATTTACAGGTAAACAGCTACCAGCATTTGACTTATCCTGGGAAATATTTCAGAGTAACTAGAAGGAATAGAAAGGGCACATTCACACGGTCTGATTTAGTATTGGTAGCTCCAGTGGTAGAGTCTTAGGGAAGGGAAAGAGAAAAGAAGTTTTATACTAATTACAGACAGATAGGGTGGATAATACTGATAATTGATCAATTATTGATATTGGCCAATTGATATCTATCAATTGATAAAAGCGCCAGAGGGCTAGTACCTGCCCCCATTCCTTGTCAGTCACAGGCAGTGAGCATGGCTTTGTGAATTTGTGTATACCGAGTGTGTGTGTGTGTGTGTGTGTGTGTGTGAGTGATGGTTTTCAGACTAAGGCTACTGTGCAAAGAAGGGATTGTAACACATTTAGACATTTTGTGCAGGCATTTTACTATAATGCTGTTTGATTTATTCTGATCACTGCTCTGTAATTTGATGATCATTTATACCCAATTTGTAAATGAGGGAACATACCAGGGATGGTTAGGTAATTTGGGAATATTAAGTAGCCAATAAATACTTGACTGTAAGTCCCATTGTCTTTCTAGTATACTATGCTGCCTGAACCCCTGCTCCCTGGCACCTGATCCTTACTTATCCAGGGATGGAGGAGAAAGGAGGGAGGAAGAGAGAGCGCAGTGTGAGAGGGAGCACTTGTAACTTGTGTTTTTTTTGTGTTTTTTTGTGGGGGGAAAGCAGTCCTTTACTGACCATAAATGTGTTTGTCTCTTTTGTCATCTATCCTAGTCCTAAATGGCACTTTGCTTCCTGTAAAAATACTCTGATAGACCTTGTACCATATAATTTTATTTTATATATATCTTAAAAGTAGGAGATGTAGTGAATGAATGCTACTGAGCTTCTGAGGGCCTCAAGGTTAGCACTAGGACAGGGCCCTCAGAGAGTGCCTGATGTACCCCTTGTGTGATGGTTCCGGTGGAGTGAGGCCCATAGTGGCACAGTGAGCTGGACCATCACTGGCCCAGCATCTTCCCCCCTTTACTGCTGAGGCAGATCTGCTATTTGTTCCTATTTAATATTGGCCCACCCAGACTTTTGCCCCTCCTTCGCCTGTGTTGCCAAAAGCGATAAAGTGAATATTGACTTCTTTACCAAAATTAGAGCATATTTTAGAAGTTCTTACATAGGTGTGATTTGTCTGCTGTTTAGTTTCTCTCGCTGGCCTGCCTGCTTAGCCACTTCCCCATGTCTCTCCCACCTGTGTCCTCAGTTTCCACTCCTAGGAGATCCTTCCTCCCCCCACCCCACACCCACCTCAACCCTCCGCCACCCCCATCACTTACTGCCCAGGCCATGGCATTATGTGCATCTTCCCATGTAATGTGGGTAACTGTTGGCATGTGTCCAAATCAGTGTGTGTGCCTGAGAGAGAGGGAGAGTGAAAGAGGAAGAAGAGAATTCATAGCTGTACATTCATTAGGTAGTAGAGTAAGAGGGAAAAGGAGGGGTGGATCCTTGTTAGAAAGGGTGTGTGTGTGTGTGTTTGAGCAGGAATATATGCAGTGATTCTCTAAGGTGTGGAAATAAGAGTAATCCTTTTGCACTTTTAGATACAAGTTTTGGAAAGCTAGGCTGGCCATCTGTGGGAAGAATCAGAGAAAGAGTCTTAAAGCTTATTTCCATCAGACTCATGGATTGAAAATTATGGTTGCTGAGTCTACAGGTGACTTAAGAACTAGGGGCTTCAGGTTCAAAGTGAGGCTTACACATACACTCAGTCCTCATCTGGAGCAGGGGGCCCTAGGATGGTGGTGCTGATCATCTGGGCCACAAAGCTGCTATTGAAACCAGACCCAGATGCTAACTCTGCAAGCTGGGTGGAAGATGTTGGAAGCCAGAATATTGCTGTTTCATTTTGTTCAACCCCATGATTTAGAGCCTTGATTTTAATTTTACTTCATTATTTGGGCTTCTAGTAAAATGTTCTTAGTCTGCTTAATTAAAGGAGAGGATATTGTCACACTTGGGGAGCACCCCTGCCCCCAGATGGTGGCAAGAGCGGTATCACCGTGTGGCTGAGGACTTGTGTGTGGGCAGGATGGAGGCCGATGAAGCTTTGAACATACAATGTCTGGACATCTTTGCATCTGCCTCATTAGACTGTTTCTTTATAAGAGATTCACTTTACACTGCTGCGTTTAGAGTTTTATTGTGGGTGTCTGGGAGAAATTCCTGTGCTCCCTGTGTTTGTACTGGGGCAGCTTGCAAGAGGAGGGGTAAGGTGAGAGGCAGATCACCTGCTGAGGTTTTCAAGATGTTTCTCCCTTTCTTCTTGGGAATGAATTTCTACCTGTTCCTCAGCCTCTAGCCAGTGCCCAGATTACATCTAAACACCTATTTAATTTAATGTATCCGAGCGCTTCTATGTTTATGTCACATGAGTACATTTAAAATCACACACACTAATTTTAATCTCTGTAGATTCCCTGTATAGTCTATGAAACATAAGCATTTTTTTTTTAAACAATGGAGATGATGGAGGCCCAGTGAGAATAGGGCTAGGTCTGGTGTCTGAGGCACCACTTGGAGCGCTGCCCAGGTCATCTGACTCGTGGCAAATAATAAATGGCTCTAGCAATGGGTGGGAAAGTGACAAAGTAGAATGTGAATGGAAAATTTGGAGGACAATTTTAAGATGCAAAGAGCAGTCGTAAGCATGGACAGCTCAAATGCAGGCAAAGAAAAAGCCTGTTCTGATATCCGGCCAGAACGTCTCGCAGGAAGAGAAACTCTGTCATGTCGCCATCCTTCCCCTGTATTTCCACCTAATGCCAGTGGAATACAATTGTGGTTCATTTGCTTAATCCCACCCGGGTAGAATCTTTCCCAGGCTGTTGGTGATTCACCTGCTTGTGGTTTTCAGGGAGAAATCAGTTTGTAGCCATCTGCTGTGAAGTCAGTTTCTTCTCTTGAAAATTGAGGAGGGGAAAATAAAAATGGTAATTGTAATACCCACCACCTCCTGAGTGCCTGCTGTGTGCCAAGGACTGTGCCACATGTTTCAGTGACCTGCCTCTGATCCTCCCAACAGACTACACCATCATCATGAGAAAAACAGGTGCACAGAGCCATTAAGTTGTCTAAAGTTAGGGCCAGAGCCCAAGTCTACCTGCACCCCTTATCCACACCACACTACCACCCAGTGGAGAATGATATGGGATCTGTGAAATGGAAGGTCTTTCTTTGTAAAGTGAATGCATTGGAATTCAGCCATGGATTGGCATATAGCTGACTTTAAATCAGCAGGATTAGCTTCTTCCTGACTCAGGATTCTTTATCCTGATGCTTTTCTCTTTGCTTTGGATGTGCTCTCAGACTAGGTGGTTTTAAGACTGTTTCAAACCATGTAAGACCCAAAGTCAACTCACCTGGGTTATTTACTTTTCTGATGTTAGGGTCTGAACCAAATACTCTTTGGAGGTTTCCACCTGTGGGATCTGATGGCCCCTTTAGGTGGTTATGTGAAGGGAATGTATTGTTGGGACCTAGAATACTCTTTGATTCATGCCTTTATTCCTGAAACAGGATTTGTTTTGACTTCCTGATTACAATCAGGGCATATGTATACACAGATGGGAAGAGAACCGTGGAAAGAGTAAAACCTCAGGCACGTGCTGGGGTGGGAGTTCCACTCCTGAGGTCAGAGGAGCTGGAAGAGGATCTCCAGCTGAGGCAGTCTCTGGATAGGAAATGAAGAGCTCAGGAGGAAGTGCTTGCTTGGGAACCATCTAACAGAGGAGGAAGAAGAAATTCACATATTTCCTATTAAAAAGAGATTGTTTTGGTTCAAGATCATTGCTTTCTCTATTTTAAATATTTTGAGGTGAACTTTCTAGCAGACAGCAGTTACTGCAGTTAATGTCCAATCTCCCTAGGAAATAGTGATGAATTTTAAGACAGCTGGGGGTTTGGTCATTTCTCATTTAAACAGAACTAGTTTTGGAAGACAGAGGCAGTGGTCAACCTAGATAGGACAGCCTACCTCTGGCCTAGCCCATGGGCTTATAAAACCCCAGCTCTGGGAGGCCCTGGTGCACAGAGCTGTCAGGCTGACCTTTGGAGCTGTGAAGTGGCAGGGTTCAGACCATCTGTACATCCTCAGCCAGGCGCGACACTGACCTTCTGGCTTTGCCTGGGTAACTGAGCTGCCAGCCTCGTAGTCGGTTAGTCCAAGTTCCTTTAAACAGAGACATATTTGCCTTTGCATGAGCTCAGCACCTGGCAGGCACCGTGCTGCCAAGTTGTGCTCCACCAATATTTGTTCAATGACCAGCTGAATGTACACAATGCATATTGCCACATTTGTGCCTCCCGTGGTCATGTGAATCCCTCCTCAGAAGTTGTCTTTGCAGTAGAGGCTAGGAAGTGCCTGTAAGTACCTGTAATAGGTCCAAGTCATGGTCCAAGATGAGAAAGGACACAGAGATGGAAAGAGAGCAAGTTAGGGGAGAAAAAGGCACTTGTCACTGGCACCTCCTCTCTTTGATGGACTAGCCATGAGATGACCTCTTTTGTTGAATCTTCCAGGCCCCAGCTCCCTGGCTGAGTTCTTAATACAGTGAGGATATCTGGAAAACCTAAAAGCATGGAATGTGAAGACTGAGCCTGGGATAAGTAGCAGTCAGGATGAGTTTCTTTCTGGTATTAAATGGCATCCCATAAGGATTACTAATTATGCAAAATCACTTTCCATTAAGTCTCCTCAAATTCCATATGTAAGCTGGTTTTCATTTGTAATGTTTCTGTAGGATAACTTCAAGCCCTGATAGCGCTTCATTCCCTATTAGTGTGGTGCATTGCCTCAATTATTTTTGGCTTTTGCAAAGTCCTTTATGCTCTCCTTTTTTTCACATTGCTATTATTTCAATTATTTTCCCCAATTTGTAAGTTGAAATGTTTTGAAAAGTTGAAAGAATAGTGCAGTGAAAACCTGTATGTCTTTCACTTAGAGTCCCCGTTTATTGACATTTTGCCCCATTTGCTTTATTCTTACATAGTCATATCCCCTATAACATGAAATATATGTTCCAAAAATCACTGTGCGGCAAAAAAAAATCATGAAGTAAAAATCACAGGGCTTATGAGAAAAACTTTGTCAGTGGCACATTTTTTTTAAAAAAAAGATAGGAACCTACCAAAAACTATAGGACAGTTTTGCATATGATAAATGGTTAAGAAATACATACTTAGTAAATGTGGAACTGTACCTTTAAAAGACCTGGTGTTTGTATCTGGAGGTGAGTGCTGAAAGGATTGAGCCTGTGAATTACTATGTGTGGTGGGAGGGGGGCTGTCTGAAATCAGAGGCAAAACTGTGACGCTAGAGGTGCATGGCATGGCCCAGAACGAGGTGACCTGAGGTAGCAGGAGAAGCTTAAGGTGGGTGTGTTTTGTATATTCCGACATGGCTTGATTCAGCTGGGTGTAGTTTTCCACATTGACTTTGTGTTTTTCATGATTGAAATCACACATAAGCAAATGTCAAATTCCCTAATACATTGATTGCTTTGGAACAGATTCAACAAGCATTATAGCAGAACTGACTGTGTGTGGAGATATAAATAGACTTTTCTTTTTTTTGCTGAACTATTTGAAAGTAAGTTGTGGATGTCATGGCATTTCATTTCTAAATTTTTCAGTATGGGCTGGGCGTGAATACATATACTAACGCCTGTAATACCAACACTTTGGAAGACAGAGGTGGAAGGATTTCTTGAGGCCAGGAGTTCAAGACCAGCCTGGGCAACATGGCGAGACCTCATCTCTATAAAAATTTAAAAAATTAGCCCGGCATGGTGGCGCATACCTGTAGTCCCAGCTGTTTGGGAGGTTGAGATGGGCGGATCATTTGAGCCCTGGAGTTAGAGGTTATAGTGAGCTATGATTGGGCCACTGCACTCCAGCCTGGGCAACCCTGTCTCTTAATAAAATAAAATAAAATACTTCAGTATAAATCTCCTAAGAATAAGGCTATTTTTCTACATCACCATAGTATCATTGCCACTCTTAGGGCAGTTAATTTAGGTTAATTCATCAATTAGGTTTTTTTAAATAATTAATGTATTTTATTTTTTAGAGCAATTTTAGTTTTACAGAAAAATTGAGCAGAAAGTACAGAGTTCCCATATACTACCTCCCCCTCACTCATACACATATAATTTCCCTTTATTAACATCTTTCATTAGTGTGGTATATTTGTTATAATTGATGAACTAATATTGATACATTATTGTTTATTTAAATCCATAGTTTGCATTAAGGTTCACTGTTGTACAGTTCAATGGGTTTTGAAACATGCACGATGTTATGTATCCACCATAACAGTATCATACAGAATAGTTTCACTGCCCTAAAGATCCTATGCTTGACCTATTCATCCCTCCCTTCCTATTGATCTTTTTATTGTCTCTATAATTTTGCCTTTCCCAGAATGTCACATAGTTGAAATCATATAGTATGTAGCCTTTTCAGGCTGGCTTCTCTTATTTAGCTACATGCATTTAAAGTTCCTCCATGTCTCTTCATGGCTTGATAGCTCATTTTTCTGTATTGCTATAGAGTATTTCCTTGTATGGATATCTCACGTTTTATTTATCCATTCACCTATGAAGGACATCATGGTTGTTTTCCAGTTTTGGGCCATTGTGAATAAAGCTGCTGCAAACATCTGTGTGCAGGTTTTGTGTGGATGTAAGTTTTCAGCTCATTTGGATAAATACAAAGGTGCATCGTTGCTGGGTCATTTGATAATAACATGTTAGTTTTGTAAAAAACTGCCAAACTGTCTTTCAAAGTGGTTGTGCCATTTTATATTCCCACCAGCAATGAATTCCTGCTGTCCCACATCCTCATCAGCATTTGGTGTTTTGAATGTTAGCCATTCTGATATGTGTGTCATGATATCTCATTGTTATTTTAATTTGCAATTGCGTAATGAGCATATGAAAAAATAGTCAACATCATGTCATTTGCCATCTGTGTATCTTCCTTGATCAGTTGTCTGTTCAGATCTTTTACCCTTTTAAAAAGTTGGATTGTTTTCTTATTGTTGAGTTTTATGAATTCTTTGTATATTTTAGATAACAGTCCTTTATCAGATATGTGTTTTGCAAATATCTTCTCTCAGTCTGTGGCTTGTCTTTTCGTTCCCTTAATAGTGTCTCTCATAGATCAGAAGTTTTAAATTTTAATGAAGTCCAATATATCCATTTTTCCTTCATGAATTGTGCTGTTAGTATTATATCTAGAAACTCATTGCTAAACCCAAAGTCACCCAGATTTTTCTCCTGTGTTATCTTCTAGAAATTTTATAATTCTGCATTTTACATTTTGGTTTACATATTTTAAAAAATTATTATTATTTTAGAGACAGGGTCTCACTCTTTTGCCTGGGTTGGGATGCAGTGGAGTGAGCACAGCTCCTTGTAGCCTTGAACTCCTGGGCTCAAGTGATCCTCCCACCCCAGCCTCCCAGGTAGCTAGCACGACAGGCACACACCACCATGCCTGGCTAATTTTTTTTTTTAATTTTTTGTAGAGACAGGGTCTCGCTATGTTGCCTAGGCTAGCTACTTTCCATATTGAATAAATTTTTGTGAAAGGGGTAAAGTAGGTGTCTAGTTTCATTGCTTTGCATGTAGATGTCCACTTGTTTCAGCACCATTTATTGTAAAGACTGTCTTTTCTCCATTATATTGCCTTTGTTCCTTTGGCAAAGATTATGTGATTGATTTGTGTGGGTCTGTTTCAAGGCTCTCTATTCTGTTCCATTAATCTATTTGTCTGATATTTCACCAATACCTACTCTCTTGATTAATTTTATATAAGTCTCGAAGTTGGGTGCATTGTTCGTCTTCCAATTTTATTGTTCTTCAGTATTATGTTGGCTATTTGGGGTCTCTTGCCTTTCCATGTAAGCTTTGGAATTAACTTGTCGATATCCGCAAAATAATTTGCTGGGATTTTGATTGGGATTGCATTGAGTCTATAGCATAAGTGAATATGAAATTCCCTGTGCTCAAATTGCTCTCAAGTACATCTGTTGCATTGACACAAATCCAGTAAGTGATAAAAGTAGAACTGACTATATACAGATATGGATATGCCTTTTTTTCCTGAACCATTTGAAAGTAAGTCACAGATATGATAATATGTCACTCCTAAACGTTTGAGTATAAACCTTCTAAGGATAAGAACATTTTCCTATGTAACTACAATATTATTACTATTGCTAAGGTAATTAACACTAATTCATCAGTTTTTTTAAACACATGCGTGCCCTTAATAAATCTGTTTTTTTTTAAATACCCATTCTGTCCTGTGCAAGGCATGATACTATATAGAAATGTGAAGACAAGGAAAATTCTCACCTTGTAAAAGTTAACAGACTCCTGCAGAGACAGACGTCAAAGACATGATTATCATATGTAGAGATAAGGGCCATAGTAGCTCTACCTACTTCCCTTTCATTCAAGGAGTTGTCAGCAGGAATGTGCTTGCCATGGGATAAGGATACCTCTCCCCAGAGTGGTGTTCTGGAGCCTGTGCCCTGTTCTTTGATTTGCCAGCCTCTAATGGACCTTTCTTCCCAACCCAGATGGGCTTATGTCCACCTAGGAGTGAAGGATGTAACTAACAGTATGTCATTCGCTCCCTCTGTTCCTTTCCATTTCTGTGCAATTAGATTTGGTAGGCACAGAGGAGCAAGGAAGAGGGTTTGAGAACCAGGCTAAGGAATGGGGACTTTATCTTCTAGGTCAGCTGTACTAAGTAGGACATAGGCTGGACATGAATACTAGAAGCCGAAATCAACAGTGGCATAATCAAGATAGGAGTCTATTTCTTTTTCATGTAACGATCAGGTGATAGCAGCCTGGGGCTAGAATACTGGCCCAAATCTCCAGGGTCATCCAGGGACCTAGACCCACGTTGACCAATGGCTCCAGCATCCCCTCTGTGATACGATGCTACATCCACATTCCAGGTAGCAGGGTGGAGAAAGGGGCAATGTGCTCCTTGCCTTTCAGGCACCTTCTGGAAGTGATGCACCTCATTTCTGTCCACATGACACTGACCAGAATTCACTCATGAAGGTACTGAGAAACATAGCCTTCATTTGGAAGGCCATGCACCAAGCTAAAAATAACAGGTTCTGATTCATATAAGAAGAGAAGAGTGGATATGGAAGGACAGCTTGCACACCTGATATACCTGTATTTCTTTTTTTTTTTAAAAAGTGCCTTCTATAAAATTAGTCTCTTAAGATACTCCTTTTAAAAAGATTTAAGATACTCCTTTAAAAAAGATAATTTGGGGAAACATTAAGCACTGTATTGATCTCACGGAGATTCACGATGCAGAGTGGCATATTAAAGGCTCTGAGAAGTACTTCAATAAAGGAATGTGTCTAGCTTTGTTTAAGCTAAGATAATTTGGCCAAAAACACACACATTTCACAAAATTTTGTTTTCTTTTTTGCAGAAGCCCTATTAACCTAAGCTTGGGAAATACTACTTTGGGAATCATTGAAAGTGTCTTAGTTTGCAGTGACGCAAACATTTTTAAAGCAATTCTATTCCTAGGGATGTAGTCAGTAGAAATGTGCATATTGTGTTGGTCAAAGTTCAATCAGAGGAACCGAAAAACTAGGAGATACATAAAGGAATTTGTTGCAGGGATTTGGTTTTATGCAACTGTGGGAGCTGTTAGACAATCTATATAAGGCTGTTCTTTGTATCTGATGTTGGAGTTTGAAGTCTACTGGGCAGACAGTTATGAAGGAAGAGAGTAAACTTCTGAACAAGAGGAGGAGGAGGAGGAAAAGGAAGAGTAAGAAGCTGAAACTCATGAAGATAGGTGGGAACGCGGATCAGGCTGTTACTGTATCCAGCTTTGGTGATGTGGGTGTCCTAAGGAGAAGCCGATGCCCTTTATTATGGAACTAAACATACACCTGGCTTAGGAGTCAGAGAAACTGAAGGAAGATCAAGGGATGGTGGCTGCAGCATCATCAGGGCTGGCTGCTGCCCCTCACCACTCTAGTAAGCCTGCAGAGAAGCAGCTATGCAGTGGACCTTCTGCACTGACCTTACAGATGCAAACATAACGTGGCTACTGATTCACTTCCAAATCTCAGCTGGAAACATACAAAGAAGGGAATTCTGAGAAGGATAGTTCAGCCCAACCAGGTCAATGCATTACAATGCCACTTTACGCTATTTCAGCAGATGGCAAATACAGGATTGTTTACAGCAGTGCCCGTTGCTGTAACTTCAAATTGGAAGTAACCTAAATGTGCATCACCAGTTAAGCAGGTAAACTGCTACATGCATATGATAGAAGTAATAGATGAACAAACTGTTGCTACACATATCAGCATGGATGACATAAAAGACATAAAAGCAAACTATAATTACATTTTGTAGAAACTCAGAAGAGGCTAAGCTAATTCATGAGAGAGGGTTAATGACTTGGAGCTGCTATGAGGGAGGTTTCTGTTGTACAAATAATGTTCTTTCAGCTTCTTGATCTGGGTGCTACTTACACAAATATGTTTACTTTGGGAAAATCCATTGAGTTGTACTTTGTGCACTTTTTTTAAAAGTTTAAGTTCCAGGATACATGTGCAGGATGTGCAGGTTTGTTACATAGGTAAACATGTGCCATGGTGGTTTGCTGCACCTCTCAACCCATCACCTAGGTATTAAGCCCTGCATGTGTTAGCTATTTATTCTGATGCTTTTTCTTCCCCTTCCCTGCTGACAGGACCTGGTGTGTGTTGTTCCCTTCCCTGTGTCCATGTGTTCTCATTGTTCAGCTCCCACTTATGAGTGAGAACATGCTGTGTTTGGGTTTCTGTTCCCATGTTAGTTTGCTGAGGATAATGGCTTCCAGCTCCATCCATGTCCCTGCAAAGGACATGATCTCATTCCTTTTTATGGCTGCATAGTATTCTACGGTGTATATGTACCGCATTTTCTTTATCCGGTCTACCATTGATAGGCATTTGGGTTGATTCCATGTCTTTGCTATTGTGAATAGTGCTGCAATAAACATCTTTGCACTTTTCTATACTTATGCTATACTTCAATATAACATTTGGGTAAATAAAGTTTTAAGACACTGAGTAGTCATGGGCAGGCTGGGTTGGAGGAAAGAAGCTAAATTTGAGCTAGCTGAACCCCGTAATGTGTGGCGTGTGGGTAAACAAGGCAGTAAGTATTAGAAGAAGCAGGTTGGTTGAGTATGAGGAGGACAGAGCCTATCGAGGGTCATTGTAGCTCTGTCCCAGACAGTCCCTTTCCTCTGCTGACCATATACTGCCACTGTTAAGCGTTAGGAGCGTGTATACAGAGGCCCAAGCAGGGGCTCTTATTGCTGGCATGCATCAGCAGAATCACCCTGTGGCAGGGCAGGGAAGATGGTGATTCTATAGACCTAGGGTAGCCCCTGGCACCTTTTAAAGCTCCCTAGCTGTCCTGATGCATTCCACAGGAAAAAAACGACTGGACTGTGAAGGTAATAGACATGGATGGTAGGGGAAAATATAGGAAAGCGTGGGGGAACTTGGTGCTTAAAAAACTCGTCTTATCCCCAAGGTCACCCCTCTTTCTTTCTGAGTGCTTTTTCTTATCTTTGACCCTGACAAACATAACATTGTTCGAGGCTTTCTGCTTTATGAACTCTTAATTCCTTTTTCATGCTTTTCACTTTAGTGAATTGACTAAATGATCAGAATCATAATTCCTCTTTTGAAAATAAACTATTTGAAAGTGACTTGGGCTGTTGAGTGTGAGATTCGACAATGCTCTATGATATCTACCATGTCCTGAGACTAGATTGTGTATTCCCTGATGCCCTGAACAATTATCTGAAAGCGTTGTTTGGCTGGGATCATTGATGGTTTTTCTAATGCCTAGCAAATTAGGATTTGGAGTGTTAATAAGAAGTTTGTTCTGAAATGAAATCTCACAAATAGCTTAGTGTTTTGCTTTAAACCCTTTTGAATATGCATGAAAACAACAGGGAGTATTCTATAGTGTTCTCTCAAGACTCTAGATAACACTGCTATTGTGTAGTTCCCTGATTCCCGCAGCCCGAGGCATGCTTGTACTTTTAAAATCCTACTTTGGCCTAGAGCGGTGGCTCACACCTGTAATCCCAACACTTTGGGAGGCCGAGGCAGGTGGATCACCTGAGGTCAGGAGTTGAAGACCAGCCTGGGCAACTTGGTGAAACCCCATCTCTACTAAAAATACAAAAAAAATAGCTGGGCATGGCCGGGTGCGGTGGCTCACGCCTGTAATCCCAGCACTTTGGGAGGCTGAGGTGGGCGGATCACAAGGTCAGGAGATTGAGACCATCCTGGCTAACATGGTGAAACCCCGTCTCCACTAAAAATACAAAAAATTAGCCGGGCCTGGTGGCAGGTGCCTGTAGTCCCAGCTACTGGGGAGGCTGAGGCGGGAGAATGGCATGAACCTGGGAGGCGGAGCTTGCATTGAGCCGAGATCGCGCCACTGCACTCCAGCCTGGGTGACAAGAGCAAGACTCTGTCTCAAAAAAAAAAAAAAAAAAAATTAGCCGAGTGTGCTGGTATGCGCCTGTAATCCCAGCTACGTGGGAGGCTGAGGCAGGAGAATCGCCTTGAACCTGGGAGGTGGAGCTTGCAGTGACCCGAGATTGTGCCACTGCACTCCAGCCTGGGCGACAAAGTGAAACTCAGTCTCGAGAAAAAAAAAAAAAAATCGCACCTTATCCTCTGTCATAACATTGATCCCACTGCACTGTAACTGCTGATCTCCTCTAGCTCTCCTCATTTCTCTCTGGAATCTAATCTCACTGAGGTCAGGGACTTTGTATCTCCAGCATCTAGCTCAGGAGAAACTGAATAATCAATGATGAGTGAATGAGTCCCAAAATTCTGGAAGCAAATATCATTGTCCCTTGAAGAAGGACCTCACTTAGAGAGGAGAGAGAGAGGAGGGGAAACAGAGTTACATTGGTCAGAGAGGTAGGAAAAGCACTAAAATAGTATTCTATCATGAAAATCCAGGAAAAAGAGGAGAAATGTTTGAGGAATTAGCAAATGCTACCTAGAGGTAAACGAGAATGAGAATTTAAAAAATGTTTTGGGATTTTTTCCCAGTCATTAGTGGCTATAGATAGAATCAAGATCTCAAGGGATTAAGGGGAGAACACAAGATAAGGAAATGAGGGTGGAAGGTTAAAAAAACATGCAGAGAAGTGAGGCTACAAAAAGCAGATTTGGAAGTGGTTGAGCAGAATGACAGAAGCAAACGCAGCATCCTCATGAGGGAGGAGAACAGTGTTTGAGGGCAGAAATGGGAGGTTCTTTTAGTGTCCACCTCCACGTCCTCCGGCGTCACCCCTGCCAGTGATGGAGGGGCTGAGCTCTGAGCATCTCGCTGGTCTGTCTGAGGCTGAGTCAGCAGTCGGTTTATTGAAAAGCCATGTGTGCTAAGCCCTGTACTAACCCATTTTCTTTGAATGATGTTGTTTCTTTTAACTTGCATCTTCCTTTTCCTGCAGGAAACATGGTAGAATGGTGCTTACCTCAAGATATTGACCTTGAAGGTGTTGAGTTCAAGTCTATGGCCAGTGGGTCCCATAAAATCCAATCTGATTTCATGTAAGTACTTCTGAACTGGAGTCATCTTCGTACCATTCCCCCCACCTCCACACTTTCCCCAAAGCTGAAGGGCTCTTATTAGGAGGTCTTCGTGTGCTGTGTGTAAATGCCTTGAAAATACATGGATAGTTTTGTGTTTACATCATTTTTCTAGTGAGATGTCTAGCTTTCATCAGATTCTCAATGGGCTTCATGACCTGCAAATCTTAAGAATCCCTGCCTGTAGAGGTTCTCTCACTTTCTCAGAAATTACATGGACCTCACTTGAGGTTTGGTTTTAATGAAAGTGCACAGTTTCAGCCCCGTGTGAGTTAACTGAGGATATCTATGTGTTCAACCTTGAAATTTCAGCTTTAAGTAAGGCCATTTTTTAGTCCTGTGTAGTGGGGCATTCAGAGAGTTTTGCGAGAAGGAACAATGGAAAGAGCTTAAGGGTAATGAAGTGGCTTTAATCTCCTCATGGGGCTTAATTCATGATTGATACAAGTGTGAGAAGAGGAGGAAATAAAATGGCAGCTCAGTGAAAAATATCAGAGCCTCAGGAAGTAAGGGAAGAATCACTGTGGTTTATGCTACGAAAGAGAGTCCAAGTTCCAGAGGAGCCTGAAGAGGAATGTTGGTTCTGCTTCACCCATCCAAGTCATTAGTCGTGGTGCAGGAGAGAAGAGATGTGTCCATGATTGTGGGCAGCTGAGCGGCAGGCTTGCCACGGACTAAGTCCCAGCTCCAGCCAAGTGACCCTTGGCAAGTTATGTAATCTCTTCAAGCTCATCAGTGAGGTCATGTGGCTTGGCCCGCTTGTTTTCTTGAGGCTGAGCTTTGTCATTGACAGCCCCGAACACAGTTCATTTGTTTTGTTTAGGATTGCATCTCAAAATTCCTCTCTGATCTTGAGCCACACTACGTATTTGGTCTCTTCTAGCTATTTCCGAAAGGGGCCCTTCTTCGGCCTGGCCTGCTTTGCCAACATGCCCGTGGAGAGCGAGCTGGAACGTGGCGCGCGGATGAAGTCTGTGGGCATCCTCTCTCCCTCCTACACACTGCTTTACCGCTACATGCACTTCTTGGAGAACCAGGTTCGGTACGTGGCTTCCGTACATGTGCAGGGAGGCAGCAGGATCCACCAGCTGGTGCATATGGCACGAGCCCTCGGAGACAGCATTTGCGTGCCAGAGCAGCAGATGTCTTTCCAAGAACATCCATGGCGATGTTTCACGCCTCGGGTGGTGTCCTTTCGTTTCAGCCAACGTCCTGCATGATGAGTCTTCACTCTATAATGAAAGCTGGGGTATATTCTGCCTTCAGTTTGGATTTAATACTACCATCACTTTTTAAAATTAAGTCATTTTTTGACAGGTACATGATCTTTGTTTATGCAAAGCCGCAATAGTTACCTCCTTGCCCCAAGTAGGCAAAGAAATCCTAAACTTTCTTAAAGCCTACTTCTTTTATTATTGGGATTCTTACTATGATTGGGATAATAGAAAGAGAACTTAAAAATATATATATATATATATATATATATATATATTTTTTTTTTTTTTTTTGGTAGAGACAGGCTCTTACTATATTGCCCAGGCTGGTCCTGAACTCCTGCAGTCAAGTGATCCTCCTGCCTCAGCCTGCCAAAGAGCTGAGATTATAGGCATGAGCCAAGGTGCCTGGCATAGGAAGAGAATTTTTAACAGAAGCAGCAAAACGATTAGTTACTTTACATTTTTTTCATCATGCAGGTAACCTAATTACATTTCAGATTTTGAGGGGAAAATTTATCCCTAATCCCTGAAGCACTGACAAAATGTTACCACTTCTTTTCTGTGTATGTGTGTACGTTTAAAATATATATTTGGCATCATACAATATATATCCTCTTTTATAGTCTATACTTTTAAAATTTATCACTACGTAAACATTTTTATGCAACATAATTGTGATCTTCAGCTTTGAACCCATGAACTTGTTTGTGGAAAACACGTTTATTATTTAAAAATTTATATGAAAGTACAGAGGATTTTTAAAAATCCTCTCATATATTAACACTCACAGATATCCATTGACAATATTCCATGAATGCAATTCTAGAATACAAATATCTTTACAAAAATAGGATTAATATTTTATGAATTTAATTTTCTCAAATAGCAGGCTGTGTTAATGAAATATATTAAACATAATTTGACTTATAACTTCAAGTAAATGTTTTTTCACAGTAAGATATACTATTCCTTGAAATATTCCTCCAAAATTAAGAAAAACAATTATGAAAAACGTGACAATATGGTGTCAGTACTTTACTGGGAAACAATATATAAACATTAAAATTGATCAGGAATGGTGGCTCACGCCTGTAATCCCAGCACTTTAGGAGGCCAAGGAGGATCAATTTAGGAGGATCAGTTGAAGCCAGGAATTCAAGACCAGCCTGGGCAACAAAGCAAGATTCCAACTCTACAAAAACAAAAAAATTAGCCAGGCATGGTGGTGTGCACCTGTAGTCCTAGCTACTTAGGAGGCTGAGGTGAGAGGATGGCTTGAGCCCAGAAGTTCAATGCTGCAGTGAGCTATGATTGCACCACTGCACACCAGCCTGAGTGATAGAGCAAGACCCTGTTTAAAAAATAAAAAAATAAAAATCCTTAATGGTTGAATTTTACCATCAAGCACTTTTCTTTCTTTGAAAGGATCTTGCATGATTAATACTATTGGCCTGTTCCCTTTATCCTCAGCTGGTTGTACAATTCTTGAATGCTTTCTTCTTCCCCTGAGGATGCTATAGATATTGTTCTACTGTTATCTGAAATTAGTCGTTTTGGAGAAGTTTCTCCATCCAGATACCTATAGAGTCTGTCTTTGTCTGTGCTGTTTCTGAACGTGCCAAATGTTTTGTTTTGTTTTGTTGTTGTTGTTTTTGTTTGTTGAGATGGAGTCTCACTCTGTCGCCCAGGCTGGAGGGCAGTGGTGTGATCTTGGCTCACTGCAACCTCCGCCTCCTGGGTTCAAGCAATTCTCCTGCCTCAGCCTCCTGAGTAGCTGGGATTACAGGGGCCCGCCACCACAGCCGGCTAATTTATTTATTTTTTTTTAGTAGAGACGGGGTTTCACCATGTTGGTCAGGCTAGTCTCGAACTCCTGACCTCGTGATCTGCCCACCTCGGCCTCCCAGAGTTCTGGGATTACCGGCATGAGCCACTGAGCCTGGCCTGAACTTGCCAAATATTTATTAGTTCATATCAGTATGTTCTGGGATAGTTTGTCCCCTTTGCTCAATAGATAGTTCTTTTATTTTTAATTTTAGGAACTTTTTCTTCTTTAATAAAATATTTAACTTTTGCATTCTGTTTTTTTCTTCTCCAGGAATACCCATGATGCATATGTTTTTCTCCCATTGTCTTCCCTGTTTGTCATTTTGATGCTTATTTTAATAGCTCTTCAATGCTGGAGCTGTCCTATACATTTACTTGGTTATTCTCTGTGGCTGAACATGCAGCATGTTTCTATTTACTGTTTATTTTTTTAGCTGCTCCTCTACCTTTTGGAGCTGTGGAAAATACATTTGCACATATGTCTTTTTCTGTACTCAAAATATTTCCTCAGTTTTTTTTTTTTTTGTCTCAGAAGTAATATTATGAAGTTCTAAAAAAGACCATTTTATTGGGATTTTGACACTTTTAAAACAATATTATTCCTTTTAAAAAGCTAATTCTCCAAGTAGGCAATACAGTTTCATGGTTCAAAATCCAAAAATTTTAAGGTGGTATTATATTGGATAGGGTCCTGGCTAAAAGGCAAGAACAGAGGCCCAAAATTACTATGGCCGGATTACGATAAAAGATTATTGCTCATGTCATAGCGTAGAGGTAGGCAGGTGGTCAAGTTGGGTAGCCTGCTCTGTTCCATACAATTGTTCAGGGACCCACATTCATCTCTTGTTATTCCACCGTATCCTAAGAATGGTTTTGTATTGTAAGGTGCTCTTTCCCAAATGTTAAAAGCTGCTCACTACTATTATGTTTGCATTTCAGCCCATAGGGAAGAAGGAAAGACTAGAATTTACATATCTCACTTCTCATATTCCATTGTCAAGTCCTCAATCACAGAGACACACCCAACAGCAAAGTAGCCTGGGAAGCATCACTACTAGGTGGGTGACCCTGTGACCAGTTAGAACTCTGGGGCATTGGTTACAAACAGGAAGAAGGGAAGACTTGACTTTGAGAAAAAGTTAGCAGCTTCTGCTTCAGTTTGCCCCTCTGGCCACTCAGGTATCCATGTATACTCTTCTTCCCCCTTGTAGAGGCCATTCCTCCCACCCCAAAGGAGACATCACAGAGTCTCATTCAGTTCATGCTTCCAGTCTAAAATCTAGGATTTCTCTGTAGTGCGCAGTAGTCCTTTACGTTAGGCCAGGGCATGGTTCTTCTTACCCTGAAAACTTATAAAAGAATAGACAAGTCCCTCTACTCCCTACCTCCCAAATGCAATATAGGAGGTAAAGTAGGAACCACAATACAAGCTTCTGTTTGGAAAAGGGAAGAATGAGAAATACGGATGGTCACTAGTTCATAACAACAGTGAAATTCTGCTGAGCAAGAATTGCAGAGTCAGTATGCTCTTGGCTCAACTTTGGTTCTGTTGTGTAGAATCCCTTGTCCATTGTCCTCCATGGCACTTGGCTTTGTCTTCTAGAAGATTCTTTCTTCATTTTCCTCCATAACCACATCTACAGTGGGCATTGGAGAACATGCCTTTCTTGAGGCTGTACAGCTTTAGAACACCTTTCCTGCTGGTATAGATTTGGAGGTCTAGTGGTTTCTTAAGGGGTCAAGAAGTCACAGGCTTTTATAAGCCAAGCATGTGACAATACATGTCTCTCAAAAACTAAATTGACTTCTCGTTTGTTTGCTTCCAGTCAGTTCCAGGTAAAATATCCATGGCCAAAGATCTTCTTTGGGTCATTGTTTTTAATTAGCAGACTAGATTATAGTTACTGGCCTCTCTTTTTGGCCCATCCCTTTCTCCCTCATTTTCATAATAACTTCCTTGAGGTGATTCCCTAAATCTGATCTTTGTAAATAAGCTGACTCCCTTGTCTGCCCAAGAATACTAAACTGGAGACTTTCATAGATGCCCTGAGAGAGACTCCTGTCTCCTGCTTTTGGTGTACAGTAGCATTGGCTTTTCCAGCCCTGTGGGGTCCCAAATTGTTGGAATCTCAGTGGATTTATATTGCCAAATTTAGAACACATGACCCTTAGTAGGCTGTATTTTATTCCGTTTTTCCTTGCAAACCAGCCAGTTCTTGTTTGTTTTTATCTTATTCTTACAGTAGCTCACTAAAAGCATACAAGGGGCAGTCAACACACACCAGCATTCTACTGCCAACTGCTTCCCATAAAGCTACAAATTCAGATGACACAGGGTCTCCCAAGTTATTGAAGTTTTAGCAGATGTTTTGCTACAAGTGTAACAAGGGTTGCCAGCTTTCTAGTCTGCAATATCTATTTTCTCACCACCCTCCCCTTCCAGCAACAAAGCCAGTGTCTCTATATGGTTTTTGATACTGTAGTAACTCATTTCCAGGTATCGTTTTTGGCTTTTAGAGTATAGGCTAAGTTGCTATAATGAAGAAGAGACCCCCAATACAGTGACACAGTAAGATAGAATTACAGCTTTTCCAGCATGGCAGTCGTAGTAGTTCATTGTGGGTAGGTGGTTCTGTTCCACTGGTCATTCTTGGACCTGAGTCATTCAGTCTTACATTATGTCATTTTCTAGAGTTGTTGTCCTCATCCACATGGTAGAAGCTGTCTCCCCATTACATTGTCATTTTCTAGCATGTAGGAAGAGGGAAAGACCTTGGCTCCATGGAATGTGAGCAGAGGTGCTGTGTTCAACTTCTGGGATCTGGAACTTGAGTGATCTGGAAGTTGAACACACCACCTCTGTTCACATTCCATTGACCAGTTCTTGGTTACTAGGCACACATAGTAGCAAGGCAATCTGGGAAATGTGGCCTTTAGCTGGGCGTCCGTGTGTCCATCTAAAATTTGGAAGGTTCTGTTACTAAAGGAAGAAGAGTATGGCAGACTACCACTCACATAAAGTGAAAAATCTTCACCCAGTTCCCATATCCATCCAAATAATCTCAGTAATCACAGTTCATTTCTCATGTATCATCCCAAAGTGTGTGTGTGTGTATATATACAAATACAAATGTATATTCTTACTGTCTCCCTTTTCTTGCAAAAGATAGCATGTTATTTGTGTTGTTTTGCACCTAGCCTTTTTCATTCAACAGCATGAAAGATCTCATATCAGTAGGTTGAGAGTTTCTTCCTTGTTTTCAGCTGTGTCATATGCCTTCTATAGAATTATAGCATTTATCAAGTTCATTATTAATAGACATTTGGTTGTTTCCAGTCCATTTCCTGCTACAAATGATGCTGCATTGAATATCATGCATTTCACACGTGAGGGGTATATCTGTATATTAAATTGTCAGAAATGAAATTGATGGCTCAAAGGATATATGTATGTAATTTTAATAGATTCTGTCAAATTGCTTCCCATAGAGGTTGTGCCATTTGCATGCCCAGTAGTAATGCAAGAGAATGCCTGTTTCACCTCAACGTTGCCAACACAAAATGAAAGTTTGAACATTCTAACCTGATGGATAAAAGAACAGTACATCAGTATAGTTTTAATTTGTATTTTTCTTATAAGTGAGGTTAAGCACCTTTATGTATGTTTGAGTCATTTGTATTTCTTTTTCTGTGAACCATTTCTAGCCTTTGCTACATTTTGTTGTTTACCTTTTCTTATTAATTTCTTTTACTTTTTTTTTTTTTTTTTAAAGTTTCGCTCTTGTGTCCCAGGCTGGAGTGCAATGGTGTGATCTCAGCTCATTGCAACCTCCGCCTCCCAGGTTCAAGCGATTCTCCTGCCTCAGCCTCCAGAGTAGCTGGGATTACAGGCATGTGTCACCACGCCTGGCTAATTCTGTATTTTTAGTAGAGGTGGGGTTTCTCCATGTTGGTCAGAGTGGTCTCTAACTCCCGACCTTGGGTGATCTACCCGCCTCAGCCTCCCAAAGTGCTGGGATTACAGGCATGAGCCACCACACCCAGCCTTTTCTTATTAATTTCTAGGAGTTTGTACAATAGGGAAATTTTTTCTTTGTTTCTTTGTATAAATTGAAAATATTTTACCACTTTTTCATTTGTCTTTTAACATTGCCTTCTTGTCATGTAGGTGTTTTTCTTTGAATTCATGCATCTTTTTATGGCTTCTAGATTTTGAGTCATAGCTAGAAAGGTTTTGCAGCTTGGTGGTTAAAGAGGGCTATAGGTAACATAAGAGAAGAGACTTGTATGACAGAGTATGAGGAAAAGAAAGAAGCACAGTTAGATAAGCTTAGGTCTAGCTTAGGATAATACTTGAATACAGCAGCAACTTTTACATAAATTCACTAGTCTTCATTTCTGCAACACTTAATCTGTGTTTTATATTTCTTCTGACTTCTGATGTTCCAAACCTATTTACTTGTATTTCATCTACAATTTTTGCCCTCAGTATCTCTCTAAAGAGTCTTTTTAATGATTATTTCTTAATCAGAAGATATTGGAGAACTATTTCATAATTTAAAAAATTAAATTAGAGGCAAGAGGGACTGTTATTGAATAAAGGGACCTACGACTCATAACCACATTTTACCTTGCTCAGATCTCAATTCAAACAAACCAACGGTAAAATAGCATTTGGGGGACAGTGGCTGTATTTTGAATGTGGACTAGATATTTATATTAAGGCATTATTATTGTTAAATGAGATAATGGCATGGTGATTATGTGTTACGTTATTTAAACAGACTTTATCAGTTAGAGATGCCTTACAAAGCACTTATCAATGAAATGTTATGAGGTGGGATTTTCTTTAAGACATTCTAGGAAAAAAGTGGTAATGGTAGGGTATAGGGTATAGATATAACCATATGGATCAAATATTATTGAAGCTAGATGATAAATACATGGGGTTCATTCTCTTCTTTCTACATTTTGTGTATATGTTTGAAAATGTTCATAGTGAAAAGTTTAAAATGACTAAGTATAAAATTAAGAAATAGTTATTATAGGAAACTTTAAAAAATAGAGAAAAGCTCAAAGAAAAAAATGATCTCACCAGCCAGACATATCTACTGTTAACATTTCGTTTTATACCATTCTAGTCTTTTCCCATGTGCAAATATATATTATACATACACGTTTTATTTTATTTTATTTCTTTTAAAAAGGATTATTGGCCGGGCGCAGTGGCTCACGCCTGTAATCCTAGCACTTTGGGAGGCCGAGGCAGGCAGATTGCCTGAGCTCAGGAGTTCGAGACCAGCCTGAGCAACAACGGTGAAACCCCGTCTCTACTAAAATACAAAAACTTAGCTGGGCGTGGCAGTGTGCACCTGTAGTCCCAGCTACTCGGGAAGCTGAGGCAGGAGAATCGCTTGAACCCAGAGGTGGAGGTTGCGGTGAGCTGAGATTGCACCACTGCACTCCAGCCTGGGCAACAGAGCGAGACTCCATTTCCAAAAGAAAAAAAAAAAAAGATTATTGAGGTCATTCAGTATGTAAATTTTGTAACTTGGTATATTAACCTTTCCGGTGTATCATGAATTATGTCCTCAACATTATTGTGGTTTCACAGCATTTCAGTATATAGATACATCACAATTTATTTAACTGTTTCACTGTTATTGGGCTTTTAGGGTGTTCCTTGTTTTTTTCACCCCTGTGAACATCAGCATCCTTGTGAGTAAATGACTGTTCATGTCTAGAAATAGTTCTTTAGGCCTCACTCCGAGAAGGAGAATCATTAGATCAGAGGATGTGTACAATGTACAATTTAATACAAGCTGTAAGTTACCCTTCAGAAGGTGGTGTCACAGTATCCCTGCACCCGCAGTAAATGGGAGTGCTTAGTTTTCTGCATTTGCAAAGCCAGGAGCTAGAAGACGATTTGTTCAGACAGATATATATATATATACACATATATATATATATATACACACACACACACACATATAAATATATATAAATATATATACACATATGTAAATACACACACACACACACATATATATGTGTATATATATATATATATATATATTTTTTTTTTTTGAGACAAGAGTCTCGCTCTGTCACCCAGGCTGGATGCAATGGCGTGATCTCTCTCGGTTCACTGCAACCTCCGCCTCCTGGGTTCAAGCAATTCTCGTGCCTCAGCCTCCCGAGTAGCTGGGATATTTATTAGAGACAGGTTTCACCATGTTGGCCAGGCTGGTCTCGAACTTCTGGCCCCAAGCGATCCGCCCACCTCAGCCTCCCAAAGTGCTGGGATTACAGGCGTGAGCCACCACGCCCGGCCTGTTCAGACCAATAATTAACACACCAGAGTGATGAAGTGTAATTGTCGCACAAAGGCATCTCTGATTCTGATCGTGGATGAATTATTGCCAGTGTGGTAGGGACAGGCAGGGTCAGTTGCACTGGGCATCTGCATGGCCACATATGGCTGTGTTTTATCAGTGAAGGAGCTGTGGGCTTAAGGAGAATCCCAGTGTCTCTGGCCCAGCAGCCTATGGCTTCTGATTAATAATATATATTGAGCCGGTTATTCTCTAGTTTTTACAGTGTCACGGCTCTTGGACAGTTTCCATAGGTGGTTTGGCATGCATTTCGGTGTGGTGGTTTCTCAATTTCTGCATTCTTGTAGGTAAGTTCACCAGGAAGGGCTGCTTTGACATCATCTTTGAAGACTAACTTATCATCCAGCACTCTGAGCCTTGTGTCAGTACTTTTTGGTTTTTCTTGATATTGTAGTTTGACAATCTTGTTTGTTGCAAAATCTGTAGTGTGTTTAAATTTTGAGTCTTTCATACAGCAGTTGCTTAACATTCATCCAGGAACTGCCAATTTGTATTTTTGTCTATGTTCAGATTCCATATTATTGCCTTGTTCTGTCCCATCAGTCAGTAATATCTGAGGCAATCAAAGGACAGAATCCTCATATTAGTTCTTTGTCTAAAGGACTCTAACTTTTGTACTGAACTTTTCTTTAGAATCGTGGTTCAAGTATAGAGTTTAATGTAGTCAAACAGAAAAGACAACTGAGCAGCAAATCAGCAAACAATAAACCTAGAAAATGAAAAAATATTTCCCTTGACACAGCCCCCTTTAACACAGAAAATGTAGTATTAAAAATATAATAAAATGATTCTCAGTATTCTTTTTAGGGAAATTTGATACTAATGAAACAACTTTGAATGAAAAAATATAAATTACCCTTGACACAGCCCCCTATAACACAGAAAATGTAGTATTAAAATATGATAAAATGATTCTCAGTGTTCTTTTTAGGGAAATTCCATCCTAATAAAAACACCTTTGAACATAATTGCCTTTGTATGATTTTCTGTGAATCAGACTTTCGTCAGTTTGACAAACTTCCCTAAAAAGTATCTGAAATCTGCCATCTTCTCAGAATAGTCAGACACAGCTTAGACCATGGGTTTCCTGTCTAGCTCATGAACATTTGTAAAAGTGAACTAAGTGACTACAAGCAACCTCCTCCCAACTAGTTATTTGTTATAGGAGGACTATATTTGTTATAGTAGGACTACCTCCTTGTCAAAACTTAAAATGCATAGGAGCCCTGAAATTGGCGCTATCATCCATCTTACATTAGTAATCATTATATGAATATAGTGATGATTTTTTTCCTTTTTAAAATATAAATTTGTCTGAAGGTCTCTTGTCATCACTTTGACATAAGAGCTGTAAATCACTCTGGAGTAGAGATGGTTGGAGAATAGAAGGCTATAGTTGGTTGATGAAAATCTTGACTCAACAGTTTGTGTCATAGTTTGGGGTAAGCCACCGTGGCAGTTTGCAGAGGCGGTGTGGCAGCGGGGAGTGCCTATTTTTAATCACTGCTGTTCCAGGGCCAACCATAATTAGGGATGTTTCCCTTGCTCAGTGAAGCTATATTTTGCTTTTTGTTCATTGATTGATGGAAATTGTAGGACACTGAGAAAATAAAGATGGGCTAAGAGGGTTTTGTCGCTTTTTATTCCTCCCTCAATTAGGGCTTTTCCGGGGCTGCATAACAAAGTGCCAAAACTGAGTGGCTTAAAACAGCAGAAACATACTGTCTCACTGTTCTAGAGGCTGGAAGCCCAAAGTCAAGGTCTCAGCAGTGTGAGTTCCCTCTGGGGCTATGCAGGAGAATCCGTTCCAGGACTCTCCCTGAGCTGCTGGTGGATGCTGGCAATCTTTGGGGTTCCTTGGCTTGTAGATGCATCATCCCAGTCTCTGTCGTCACGTTCACCTGCTGTTTGCTGTATGTGTGTGTCTATGTGTCCAAAAGTCCCCTTTCTATAAGGACAGCATTCATACTGGACCAGGGCCCACTCCAGTAACTTCATTTTAACTTGATTACCTATGTAAAGATGCTATCCAAAAAAGTCCCATTCTGAGTGAGGTGCTGGGGCCCCATCTTTTTTGTGGGGACAAAATTCAACCTATAACATCCCCATTAAATATAGTGACAAACAGTCCTCACAGTGCTCCTGCGCTCCACTGGGGGGCAGGATTCTCCACTGTTGAAATGGCCCAGGGCTTCGGTGCTGCCTTCTGGGTTCTGGGGTCTGGGGTTGGCCAGCAGGGCCAGCCACAGCCAGGCTCTGTGACCCGAGCTGGTGGAGCGGGCAGAGAAGAGATTCTGATGCTTTTTATTTCTTTATTATTATACTTGATGCAGAAATTATGAGCCCTGATGACATCCAATAATAATTGTTTTCCCTTATTTGAGACATTTGGGGTAAGCTCCGTATTCTTCCATAACAACAAAGCAAGCAGGCAAGCGTGAGTTCTCTAAACAAAGAGCGGCTTTAAGCAGGGAATTTTAGGCTTCCAAGCTGGCCCTTCTCACAGGAAGCAGCCATTCTCTGGGAAGTGGCACCCAGTCTCCGGCGTACCTTGCTCAAGAACAATAGACATTAGTCATAGTCTGTTAATTCTGTCTGTTTCCCATGAGAAAAAGAATGTGTTCCATGGTGTTGTCAGGGAGTTTCAGGCCCATGTTTGAACTTTTCCTAAGGATCTTCTGTAACATCAAAGGAGGTGACCTAAGCAACCTCCAAATGGGGATCTTTGGAGTATGTCAGGGCCTTTGCCCCTGAGTGTTACAGCCCCTTGAGGTGGGCGGAGGGTAGGAGTGGTAGCAGAGCTGTGACCAGGGCTGTTCTCACTGTGTGTGTGTGTGTGTGTGTGTGTGTGTTTTTCTGCAGGCACCAGTTGGAGATGCCAGGACATTACTCTCATCTGGCTGCCTTCTATGAGGACAAAAAGGGGGTGCTCCATGCTGGTCCCGGCAGAGGCAGCAGCCTGCCCCCTGTCTACTGGCTGCCTTCCATCCACCGATACATGTACCCTGAGATGAAGGTGAGGTTAGCCCTGCTTTTCTTACACTATACTGGATCTGTATCTGGGAATAGTAGCTGTTGATTACTTTTTAATGAATAAAAAATTTATGTCTTTGGATCATACAAAATGTCTACTTTTGATAGAACAGAGTTGCAACATAAGCATTTGGTTTTTTTAAAACATAAGGCAAGTTATCTTAAACAATATGCTTTCTAGACACTTCTGTAATCATAGTATAAAGGCGTGTGTGATAGGCCAGTTGTGAAAAGATAGATTTAATTCTGTTGATTGCTTCTGATATTTTAACACTAGACATTTGAACTAAAGATGAAGAGTCTGATGAAGAAGTATGACATTTCTTAGTTAAGACACTTCTGATGTTACTTCGTTCTGTATTTGTTCCTGAAGTACTTTGGCTTTGGTACTAGAATATGCCTATTTACAGTTAGCAAAACACCCAGCAAAGCGTTAGGTGTTGGAAGGGTGCAAATATGACTAAGAACATGAATCTCCTCTTTCTCTTCCCTCTCTGTCTCCTGTGGTTGGTCACAGGATATTTCCATGGAAACCTAGGGCTCCCCTGGTAGAGAAATTATGCCAAGAGTCCAAGGGAGAACTCTGGGAAGATGCCTTAGGAGAGGACGCAGTCCCTGAGTATTTGGCTAGGTGGAAAGTGAGGAATGCTGATTCCAGAACCAGGAAAGGTGTGAGCAGCAGTGAGAACCATGGTCTGTCACTTTCTCAGCACCTTCTGGGAGTTATGCATTGTGCCAGCTATTTATCTGTACCTGTTGCAGCATTCTCTAAAATAAAAGTAAATGTTTTTTGTTTTTTTTTTTTTATTCCTTGTTTTCCAGCGAAAACAACCGAGGCTTATAAAGGGCTAGTGACTTGCTTTAGGTCTTATAGCTAATAGGAGTTAGAGCTAAGATTTAAACAGAGGTCTAGTGCCACAGCCAGTGCATGTTTCCTGCCCCACTTCATTGCCTTTGCAGAGATGTGGACACGGAAAAATGCAAGACAAGTTCATGAGACATGAGCAAACTAGTTTGGCTGGGATTAAATGTTTGTCAGCTGGCATGAGGGAAGTGATTGGAGAAATAGGCTGAAATTAGATTGTAGAGAGCTTTAAATAGTAGACCCTGGAGCTTGAATCCTAATAAGTACCAATTAGGGGCTTACCGGGTAAAGAGACCATGTAGGTATTTCAAACTAATTTAAGACAGGAAATCAGTAATATAGGAGTTGGAAGGCTGAAGGAGTAAAAAAGGAATAGGTAACCCATATTTAGTAATTATAGATAATAGCCTGACTAACACCCTATATTAGTGATTTATTGCTGTGGAACAAATCCCCAAATTAATGGTTTAAAACAGTACATATTTATTATTTCACAGCTTCTGTAAGTCAGGAATCCCAGCATGGCTTAACCAGATTCTCTATGTCACAATCTCTCATGAGATGGTTTCAGCCAGGGTTAGGGGCTCATCTGAAGGTTTGACTGGGGAGGTATCCACCTCTAAGATCAGGTGGGTGTTGGCAGGATCGAATTTCTTGAGGGATGTTTTGAACTGAAGGCCTCAGTACCTTGCTGGCTGTTAGTTGGGGGCTCCCCTCAGTTCTTAGCCATGTGGGTCTCTCCACTATGTGAGCTTGCTTTATCTAAGCCAGTAAGAGAGTATACTAGCAGGATGGAAGTCAGAACCCTTTGTAACCTAACCATGGAAGTGACAGCCCTGCAATGTCACCATATTTTCTTAGAAGCAAATTACTCAAGAGCAAGAGGGGATTGCATAAGGCTGTAAATACCAAGAGGTGGGGATCACTGGGGACTATCTTAGAGGCTGCCTGCCACCCTTCCTTAGGGCTAGGGTAACAAAGCAAGAGAAGCAGAATGAGCAAAACCATGGGAGCCTGCAGGAGGGGTCCCTGCACAGCCAGTGCTCAGATCGCTGAGGGAGGCACTGCGCATCTGTGCTGGGACCTCTCAGGAGGTGTGGCTCCACGTGTGCTGTGCATGCTAAGGAAAGCTGGAGGCTGGAGTCATAGGTGTCTTCTGCTCCTGGAGAAATACTAGCTGGAGCAAGAAACAGAAGAGATTTCCTTCTGCCTTTCAATCTACAGTCCATGCTCTCCATTGAAGAACTCTAACAGGAAGCCAATTGGCGTATGAGTTTAGGAATTGTCATTTGCAGGTTTCCCAACCCCGTGGCGTAGGCTGAGAGACAATCATTAAGAAATCGTTAGAGGGCCATTAGAGGTACTCTGGGCTTGCACTGACCTGAGTCCTGTTCTCTTTCTGTCTGCTCATAACTTAGACCCATTTTTTCCTTCAGAGTCCAATTTCTGTTGGAATTATCTCCAAATCCACAGGGAGGTGACCAGCATCTGACCTAAATGTACTCGTATTCTTCCCCATAAGAGTCCAGGGATGAGGGACTAAGAGAGAAAAAAGAAAATGGCCCATGCTTTTGAGGACAGCTCATTAACATAACTGTTAGACCCTAGGAGATGCAGGGAAGAGGGTACCGTTATGGTTGCAGATACAAATAACAGTGGAGTGTCTTCTTTTTACAAAACAATATGTCAGCACATCAAAATAAAAAACGGCCAGGCATGGTGGCTCACGCCTGTAATCCCAACACTTTGGGAGGCCAAGGCGGGCAGATCACTTGAGGTCGAGAGTTTGAGACCAGCCTGGCCAACATGGTGAAACCCCATCTCTACTAAAAATACAAAAATTAGCTAGGCTTGGTGGTGGGTGCCTATAATCCCACATACTTGGGAGGCTGAGGCAGGAGAACTGCTTGAACCCGGGAGGCAGAAGTTGCAGTGAGCCAACATCGCACCACTGCACTCCAACCTGGGCAACAGAGTGAGACTTCTCTAAATAAATAAATAAATAAAACATGTGCCTTTTGTTTCAGCAACCTTACTCCTCAGGATCTATCCATCAGAATGACGTATGTGTAACAATATTTAATTCAACATTGTTCACAGTGGTAGAAAACTAGAAAGCCATAGTGAGTAGTGAATTAGAGCATAAGAAGGTGACATGGAAGGATCACCAGATCTCATTTGTGTGAGAATAGCAACGTGCAGAAAACTCATCATTCCTTGGTATTTGCAGGGCCTTGGTTCTAGGCACCCTCCCTCAGATACCCAAATCTGCAGATGCTCACGTTCCCATGTAGTAGGGTGTAGTATGTGCATATAACCTATGCAGTTCCTCCCATATACAGATACTCCTCAACTTACTGTGGGGTTACACCCCCATAAGCCTATTGTAAGTTGAAAACATTGTAAGTCAAAAGTGCATTTAATGCTGGCAACCCAGCCAACAGTCCTTGACTTACGACGGGTCCACTTAATGTATGATTTTTCGACCTTATGATGGTGCGGAAGCAATTCACATTCAGTAGAAGCCATAATCCCATCAAAGTCTTAAGGAGCTTCTTGACTTAACGTGGGGCTACATCCTAATAAACCCATCATACAGTTGAAAACTTGGTGAGTTGAATCATGGTAAATCAGGGACCTTCTGTGCTTTAAATCATTTCTAGGTTACTTATAATACCTCATACAATGGAAATGCTACGCACATAGTTGTTATACTATGTTGGTTTTTACATGTATTAAATTTTCTTATTGTTATTCTTTATTCTTCCAAATATTTTTGATCTGCATGCAGTTGGTTGAATCTGAGAATATGGTATTAGGGGATACAGAGGGCCAGCCGACTGTACATGTGATATGATTACACTGTTGTTAAACAATCACAGTGTCTGTCTAGATAGAGACACACACACACCCAGACATAAACATGGAAAGTATTGATGGGTGTATATGAGCTTATTAAGTTATGTATTCCCTGGATGAGGTAAAGTATGGGATGCGGTAGGGCAAGGCTTACATGTACAAAAAAGGCAGGGACCAGGAAAAAAAAATGACAGTACTTAAAAATAGCATGTATGAGGCCGGGCGCGGTGGCTCACGCCTGTAATCCCAGCACTTTGGGAGGCCGAGGCGGGCGGATCACGAGGTCAGGAGATCGAGACCATCCTGGCTAACACGGTGAAACCCCGTCTCTACTAAAAATACAAAAAATTAGCCGGGCGAGGTGGCGGGCGCCTGTAGTCCCAGCTACTCGGGAGGCTGAGGCAGGAGAATGGCGTGAACCCCAGGGGGCGGAGCCTGCAGTGAGCCGAGATTGCGCCACTGCACTCCAGCCTGGGCGACAGCGAGACTCCGTCTCAAAAAAAAAAAAAAAAAAAATAGCATGTATGATATAATAATACTTGTCATGGATGGAAAATAATGTAATATATCTGTCAGTTTTTATTGAAATATAACATTTTATAGGAATAAGTTCAAAAATAGTATATATGATACAATACTTGTCATGTATGGAAAATAATATATATATATCTTTAAGCTTTTTATTGAAATATAAAACTTTATAGAAATAAGTTCAAAAATCATACGTATATAATTCAATGAATTTTTACAACATGAACACACGTATAAAGAAAAGCTTTAGTCTGAGCACGGCGGCTCATGCCTGTAATCCCAGCACTTTGGGAGGCCAAGGCAGGTGGATCATGAGATCAGGAATTCAAAACCAGCCTAGCCAACATGGTGAAACCCCATCTCTACTAAAAATGGAAAAATTAGCCAGGCATGGTAGCATGCGCCTGTAATCCCAGCTACTTGGGAGGCTGAGGCAGGATAATTGCATGAACCCAGGAGGCGGAGGTTGCAGTGAGCTGAGATAGCGCCACTGCACTCCAGCCTGGGCCACACAGGGCAAGACTCCCTCTCAAAAAAAAAAAAAAAAAAACTTTAAAGAAGTAAGCTTTTAATGTAGGAGTCAGATATAGGAATGTTTCAGAGGGAAAAAAATAAACTGGAAAGGAAGCAGAGGGAAGAGGAAGACCTCTCTGAGAGGTCCAGATGTGGCTGCTAAATGCTCCCCTTAGGAAAATGGGGGAGTGGGAGAGGGATACAGGGGAGGGGGGCTGGGCCCCGGGAGTGGAGGGCTTCCCTAGTGGCAGGCATGGGTCTATCAGAGCCTGCTATGGACACTGAACTGACAGTGGTTAGGGAGTAAAAAGAAATTGGAGTGAAAAGAGGATGGAGTATGGACTTGAAAGGTTGGAGGGAAAACATGAAGGTACGCACTGGAGACATCAAGAAAAGAGATTTCTCTGTAAAAGCCAGAGAAACAAGGCTGGAAAAAGGGAAAGAGATTTCAATGAAAGCAGGAGGAATTTCTGTTGCATGTGCAGGTGAGAAGGGGTGAGAAGTCTCTAGAGCTGACCCTTTTAGAAGAAAGGAGGTGGCCCTGTGGGCAGTGCTTCCCTGGCATGGGCCTGGGCACAGGGCCTGAACTACTTGCAGGTCCCAAGAAGGGCCATGTTGCCTCTTACCTGCAGGCCTTTGTATGTGAACACCTTCCCTCAGATTCATCTGTTTTTGTTTGTTGTTTGTTTGTTTGTTTTGAGACAGTCTCGCATTGTTGCCCAGGCTGGAGGGCAGTGGTGTGATCTCAACTGACTGCAACCTCTGCCTCCCAGATTCAAGCAATTCTTCTGCCTCAGCCTCCCAAGTAGCTGGGATTACAGGCACGCGACACCACACCCAGCTAATTTTTTGTATTTTTAGTAGAGATGGGGTTTCACCATGTTGACCAGGCTGGTCTTGAACTCCTGACCTTGTGATCCACCCACCTCGGCCTCCCAAAGTGCTGGGATTACAGGCATGAGTCACAGCACCCGGCCTCAGATTCATCTTTATGTCGAAGCTTCAACATCACTTCCCCCAGGAAGTCTTTTCTGTCTCTCCTAGAGTGGGATCAGGCACCCTCCAGTTTGCTCCACCATGCCCCATTCTTCTCCCATCATGGCTCTGTCAGGCTATATTTTAATCGCTTTCTCCCACTAGCCTATAAAATATACATTGGGCAAGCCCCACCTGGCCTCTGTGTGGTGGAAGAACAAGTTGGGAGCTTGAAGATAACCAGTGGGAAAGCTGGGAGGAACCGGCACGTGCTTTGGCACCCTTTCCTATCTGGTTGCTGTTAGACTTTGAAGAGAAATAGCGATTGGAGGGATGCAACCAGCCTTGGTCACTTGGTGCCTCTCCTCCTCATGATTTGGGTTGCGGTGGCAGAGGAGTAGGCGTGGGTGGCAAACAGGACATGTTCAGTTCAGGGTCGCCTTTATCCTGGCATGGGGTAGGGGAATGGTATCAGTGCAGGAGTGATGCCTTGGAAAGGGAAATCCTCTCCGGGTAGTGCAGACACAGCTTCGGAGGGTCCAGGACAGCCCTGGCTTGGACAGGCAGAGTGCAGAGGCTGCCCTGAGGCTCGGGTATAGGTGCCTCTGAAGGCTGGTGGTTGTTAAACCCTAGCACGCAGCCCGAGAGTCGGTGCCTCTCTCAGAAGTGCTCTTGCCTGCCTCCCTGATGGGTGATGAGCTCTTTCTTCTGGCACTTTGGCATGGAAATGACCTTTCACAAAGCTCACAAGGCCCAGGGTTTGAAGCCTTTCTGTTTTTCAAAGCAACAGTAGTGGCCACCCCATATTGGCTATTTTTATGTGCTATTTCATGTTTTGTCTCAGGCGGTCCTTAAAGTAACCCTACGAGGTAGGTGATGATTCCGTATTTCACAGTTAAGGATAGTGAACCGGAAACATTAGCTAACTTTCCCCAGATCTCCCTGTTAGTAAATGGCAGGGCCAGGATTGGAATTCAGCTCTTCCTGGGATCAGAGCTTATGCTCTTAACCCCTATGATACTCCTTGGCTCAGTGTTCCTAGAAGGCAATTCAGGGGTTGCCAGTTAGTGACAGAAGGAAGAGTGGGGCCAGTCGTGGTGGCTCACGCCTGTAATCCCAGCACTTTGGGAGGCCAAGGTGGGCGAATCAGTTGAGGTCAGGAGTTCAAAGCCAGCCTGGCCAACATGGTGAAACCCTGTCTGTACTAAAAATACAAAAATTAGCCGGGCATGGTGGTGCATGCCTGTAATTCCAGCTACTTGGGAGGCTGAGGTAGGAAAATCAAACCCAGGAGGTAGAGGTTGCAGTGAGCCAAGATCACGCCACAGCACTCCAACCTGGGTGACAGAGTGAGTCAGACTCCATCTCAAAAAAAGAAGGAAGAGTGGTCAGAGGTGAAGTGCAGCAGGGGTTATGCCAGGGGCTCCTTCCTACCTGTGACTTCTGCAGACACCTCACTTTGCACAGTAGCAGCCCCCATAGATTTGGGATCTGACTGGGGACTGTTTGCTCATCATGTTATTACTTAACAGTGCTTAGTAATGTTTTCGAGTTGAGTTTTCTTATTGAAGCAGATGCTTTTATTCTGGTTTTTTTAAATTTAAATTTAGCTTTGTTTCCTTTGCATTGTTCTCCTGAGTAAAATAATGATCACTCAACTCAAACATCAGTGTATCAGGGAGCTGTTGTATTATAGAAATCCAGTTTAAAGGTAAGACTTTTAAAGTGAAAAACATCATTGTGTGTGGAAATAAGCATCCTTTAATGTATCTGTTTGGATGGACTTTAGAATTTCAGAGAAGGAGATTAGATACCTTTTGCTATATTTCTAAGAAGCTGTTCCTCACTCTTTCTCCTCCCTATTCCCCTCAATTTTTTCAGATCACACACCCAGCTGGCTGCATGTCTCAGTTTATAAAGTTCTTTGGAGAACAGATCCTCATCCTCTGGAAATTTGCCTTACTTCGAAAGCGCATTTTGATATTTTCTCCCCCACCTGTGGGCGTGGTGTGCTATAGAGGTAACCAGAAGCCAGAGTCAGGAGTGCTGCTTAAATCCCTGGAGCAGAAACTGCTTGAGTCTTTCTGTCACTGACCAAGTTTGGAAGAGCTTGGGCCACATCCAGGGGATGGGGTTTTAAGCCCGGGAGTGAACTGATTGGCTGTGAACACTGTTGACAATGTAGAAGATGGGTTGGATGACACATCAGTGGCCTGGCCAAAGATTAGGGCTGGATTAAAGCAGAGAAGATGCATTCTAGATGGATTTAAGAGAAACTGGACAAAACTTGTTGTCTGATTGGGTTGTAAAGGTTCTGATGTGTGTGAGGTTGCAGTGGAAGCAGAGTCTAGGATAACAAGGGTGGTGGGGCCACCAGATGGGGGACGGAGGAGGAGCCGGGGGCTGGCTTGATAAGGTTAGTGTGGGATGTGATGAGGGTGTGCTGCCTTGAGACCTTCACAGCAGGGGTGTCTGCCCACCCTGCCTAGCTGGGTCGGGACCTGTGGGCGTTTGAGCTGGAGATAAAGATTTGAGGGTGGTAGATTATTTCTGCACTCATATCCAGGATGGACAGCGTTACCTGGGGAAAGTACAAGTGTGGAGGGGTGTTCCAGGCACAGGAAGTGGACCAGAAAGGTGGAAGGACAGAAAGGACTAGGGAGGGACAGGCAGAAGGGGGAACCGGAAGACACAAGGGTTACAGAGGCCGGAGTTCTGACAAGGTCAAATTCTAAGCAAGACCAGCTAGAGAAAGACTGAGAAATGTTTATTGGGTTTGGGAAGCACGTTGTTGACGTCACCTTGAGGGGTCAGTTTCTGCCATGGCACCCCAAAAGGCTTGCCACCTCCAGTCTCCTCAGAACGCCAGGACCACCTGGATCCTGAAGCACCAGATAGCCTGGAGCAGAGGTGTTGAGCCGCAGGCTCCGAGGGAGGAAGGGCTGTGGAGGGGCAGACCCTCCCCGCTCACCTCCTCTATCCCCACAGTGTACTGCTGCTGCTGCTTGGCCAACGTTTCACTGCCTGGCATCGGGGGCACCATTCCTGAGTCCAAACCTTTCTTCTACGTGAACGTGGCTGACATCGAGAGCCTGGAGGTAGAGGTGTCCTATGTGGCCTGTGAGTACGGGGCCCTCCCCTCATCTTGCCCTCAGGTCCCAGCCCTGCTCCTCCCAGACACAGGGCTCCTGGGCGCCTTGTTTCCCAGTGGGGTCGGGTGGGTTCCCACCTCTCTAACCCCGGGTTCCACAGGCACCACAGAGAAGATATTCGAGGAGAAGCGGGAGCTGTATGACGTCTACGTGGATAACCAGAATGTGAAGACACACCACGACCACCTGCAGCCGCTGCTGAAGATCAACAGTGCTGACAGGGAGAAGTACCGCCGGCTCAACGAGCAGAGGTAGTGGCAGCTAAGGGGAGAACCAGGGGCTCCACCCTCCTCAGGGCAGCTCCAGCATGGGGGTCTCTGCAAAGCCTGTCTTCTGCCCCTTCCCTGACACATTTCTCCCAGTCTCCATGCTGCCTGGGATGGAGATGGAAATGAAGGGAAGCCCCGCAGTAGAAGAGGCCAGGCTCCCTGTATGCTGCCCTGATAGGAGGGGAGTAGATCCACGGTGCTGGTTTATTTCTTCTCATGGACTTTGGAATCTGTGGAAATTACCTTAGCTGCCAGCTGCTCTCCACGTGACCTTTAGATGTACCTGTGTGTGCGGCTTAGAAGCACCTTGACTGAGCACCTTCATTGTGTTGGTCGCCGTATTAGAAGCTTGCTTATATGTATCTGATGTCATTGTCAATAATCTGGTGATCCTGTGAAATAAGTATCATCATCATCATCATCCCCTTCTGATAGACAACTAGGAGATTGTTACTTGCCTAAGATTACCAGGGGCAGAACTGGCCCTGGACCCCAGGGATTTTGAGTCCAAACCCTGTTGATCCCTTTCCTGGCTGGTGCTGCTTCCTGGGAGGTGGTGGCCCATTGAAGATGCCTGGCTGAGGCCTCACCTGTGACTGCGGTCCTGGTACCTGCACCAGAGTCTCACGGTGATCTTCCCAACAGGCAGATGCTGTTGTACTCCCAGGAAGTAGAAGAAGACTACAACCCTTGTGAAGAGGACCTCTTCGTGCTGTGAGTCCTGGGGCCGTGGATGTGGAGTCTCCCTGAGGATCCCTTCGGCACTGAGTGACCTGCATCCCTCCCATGTCATTCACTGCGGGCCAGGGATGCCGTTTATTGCTGCCAAGGGCACTTAGAGCCGGGCTCCTTACAGAGGCAAACCTGAGCCCTGAAATGCCATTAGGGGGAACCCAGAAGACTTAGGGAAAGAAGCAGGTCCCTTAAGAGAAAACAGGAGTCTTAGTGTTTCTTTCCTTGTTGGGCTTTTACATCGAGGATGTCCACTGCCTGGAAGCTCTGTCTGTCCCTCAGGACTCAGGGACTTCTCATTTCCATTGCCTCCTTTGAATAGAGTAGTTCCTTGCGCTGAATATTATGGGATAATCTGAAATTTTAATTCTTGAATCAAATGAAATCTCTTTGCCCCGTAGGTGCAGAAGCCAGGGCCTTTCCACCTCACAGTACTGATTTCATTCCTAGACAGCTGGGTGAAGTAGCCTTCTGTGGCATCAACTGAATTCTCCCAGCTTCCTGTTTGGTCTTCCAGGGGTGAGGTTGTGGTTTGATGCTGAAAACTTAATGTGGGCATTTCTACAAAGGTGTAGCACCTTGATTCTAATAGTGGACTTCTAAAACCTACATCCTGTTTAGGTGGAAAGTATCTGAGACTTGAGCACAGCCATAGTCTCATCCAGGTATGACATGTGCCACTGTGTCTGAAATTCCTGAGCACCGAGGGCCGCTTCAGGCACCAGGCACTTTGCCAACCTGAGAGCTGTATGGGGCTGGACTGTCTAGTCTAACTAGGCAGTGAACCCTGTCCTGAACAGAGCTTGTTTGTTCATAAAGCACTCTAAAGCAGTGACTTTTAAATCTTGATCTGTGCATAATCTCACTCCTCCCAAAGAGTCATCAAGGGAGAGCAAACACCCAAGGGTAACGTTGGCTCACGTTCATTTTGTTGTTGTTGTTGAATTTTTGCTTCCTCCTATGACTAAGCAGAAAGAGAGAAAAGCAGTGTTTGGGGGCCTCTTCTCAGGCTGTGTTTAAACCCAGGTCACTTCCCTCAACAGGAAAATGGATTTTGACAGGCCATCTTGCTTAGAGATTTCCCTAATCACACCATAATTAATGCCAAATGGTTTCTTTGCTAACCTTAGTAGCACTTGAATAATTAACTTTTACTCTTTTCTTTTTTTAAAAGATACCTGCGAATCCACTGAAAAGTACATTAAACAAAACAGTATAGTTTTGGTTCCCCATATGTGGATTATCTGGTGAGCTTTTTATTCCCCCCCGCTTCCTTTCCTGTGTCTTGTCTTCCAAATGCAGGTTTTTCCTAGAACAAAACAACCGGATATTTCAGACTTTGTTGGAGGTGTCTGCCAGTCAAGACAAAACTCTGACAGCAGAGCATGCCCGGGGCATGGGCCTAGACCCCCAAGGAGACCGGAGCTTTCTCCTGGACCTGCTGGAGGCCTATGGCATTGATGTCATGCTGGTTATCGACAACCCCTGTTGCCCGTAGGAGGAGCCAACAGGACTGGGAGCCACTTCACGTGGGATGTCAGCAGCCCGGAGTTCACCCCAGGGCCCCAGAGGGCCTCATTTTTTATTAAGTTGACACAAAGGAATATTGTTTATACTTTCCAACAAACATAATTTTTGCAATTTCCTTTCTGCCCTTTTCCCTAGAGATAAGGTGAGATCACCTTGGTTTTGTGTCCTGCCATGTTAGGATATTGGAATCTGCCACTTTCTCCCAGAGCTGCTGGTCCTCTGGGCTTGGTCATGGGAGTTGTATCACTAGGAGTAGGCTGAGCTCTGGAAACATTGGGATGGACTGTTCAGAAAGTCTGTGTGGTCTTTGTCCCTTGATGTATTTGAGAATAAGACAACCACCTGTCCCCTGTGGCCTTAGATGTTCATCTGCCTAAAGGCAGAAACTAGACCAGATGATCTTTTAAGGTTTTTAGTAGTTCTAGGAGTCTATAGTCTTGGGATCAAATCCCTTTTCTTGTTCATTAGGGCAACTTTATGTCTTCTCTGTTTACTTGAGTAGGGACCACAAAGAGGGAAAAAAGGATGTTTCTGACACCAAATATGAGCTTATCTTATGGTCAGAATGAAAGAGGTTGCTTATCAGTGAGCTGAAAACTAAAATTATAGAATGAAGCCTGGAAACCTTCCTCAAAGTAACTTGATGGTGGCCATGCAATGTAATGTTCCTCTTTGTCTGAACCTTCCTCTTCTTGGGATGAATTGGTGAATTGCTAAGGGCCAATGCTGGCCTTGGAGCTTGCAAGCAAATTAATTTTCCAGTTTAGTCTCTTAAGGGTTCAATAATGCTCTTGGAGTAAGTTGGGTATTTTTAAAGGCTGAAGTTTGGACTACCGGAGGATAGAGCAATTGAAGTTCGAGCAGGATGGAGAAGCCACTCTAAGTCTCTTCATCTGGACACGAATTCTCTGGAGGCATTAGCAGCAGCACCTCTGGGTCAACACAGATTTACTGGATTCCAAAATCTAGCAAGGATCTGAGCTGGTTAACTCAGAGGGTGGAGCATGATGCTAACAAGACGGTTTATCATTTTGGACCCCTCACAAACACACTTCTCTTTAGCAGAGGTGACATTCCTTAGGCTAAATAATTGGATCCAGGGACATAACAGATTTGTTGAGAGAAAATGTGGCAGTGCCTTCACCCGGGACAGTGGTCAGGAAGCCCTGAGCATCCCTGATGGATTTATCCATCCTCTTCTGAAGTGCTCTGCTCTAGGCTGGGTCCTGTTGCCACCTGCCTGTTCTCTGGTTGGCTTTTGCAGGAGGGCAGCTTACGTGTTTGTCAACCAGTTAGAAAGCCAGTTCCTGTGGGTCGAGTTTAGGCCTTTTTGGCCATAGTTGAGAATTTTGACTTGGGATACTGGGTTGTTGGTGACAAATAATGTCTTCCTTTTCCCCCTTCCCGCCTGGCTCGGTTATGGGAATAGCCGTCAGTGCATCCATGTCTGTGACCAACACCCAGCCAGACTAATGTACACAGCAGGGAGAAATAACATTCAAATGGTGGTTCACACATCTCATCTCAAGATAAGATTCTTAGGGTTCACTGCTTTATTCAAAAGTGTTTTCACTGTAGCTCCTTCATATGGAATATCAAAACTGAAGAAATTCACATGTGGAAATGCAAATAGACATTGATTAATCAAGGTAGCATCTTTATGTAAATATATAAATAAGTTTGGGCATTGAAATGTAAACTGTACAGCTAATAGACTTTTCTCCTCTGCAATGTGGGTTGCTGTCATTTCAGTAATGTGTATGTTTACAAAAGAAAAAAAAATCTGTGTTTCGAGGTTGAAGCCTCACCTTTTATTCTCCTTTACATGCAACCCTCTCTTCTTGCCTCTCAAGGGTTGAGGGGTCCTTTCTGTCAAGTAATGGTTATTTTTCGTGGTATCCTGAGGTTCAGGGTGTTTTAAGCTGGGGGTAGGTGGTTAGAGGCAGGAGTAGAAGTGAAAGGAAAGGTCTGATTCTCCTAGAGGACACAAGAAGACCTCCTTTTTCTGGAATTAGGGAATCTGCCGGAAGGAGCTGTTTGAGGCATTTCTGCTCTGAGCCTTCTATATGCAAACACTGCAGTTTTAACTGCAAGCTCAGAAGTGCTGGTGTAAACATAGCAGGGTGAGAATGAAGTTCCTGTTTTTTCCTTTGAATGGTGAGTCAGGGCTTCTGGGTTCCCTTAACTTTGTGCTTGTCTCGGTAGCTTTCTGTCTCACATCTCCACGTGTCCACCCTCCTGCTCATGCAGAGGGCCAGGGTATGGGTGGCCCCAGAGGAGAACGTGCCAGTGAGGCAGTGCCATGTTTCAGGTCATAGGGGCCTTGGGCTCAGCTGACCCCAATGCAGAACTTCTCCCTTTAAGAGAGATTCCAATAAATTGGTCCTTCCCTACCTTGCCAGCTTCTTCATAGGACCAGAAATCTTGTGCAGAGCCTCTGCTTGGCTGAACAGCGTGTGCTTTATCTCTTCAGTTACCTTTGCCACTGTTGAGCATCCTCAGAGTATGTCTTGCCTGGGCTATGAAGTGGAGCCTGTGGCTTCGGAAATCACCTTTCGAAGCCTTGCTCTATGCCAGATTCTGCTCCCCAACATGACAGATTAACAGGCACAACCTAGGATCCTTTGCTACCAGTTCTCTACTAGGGAATTCCACAGTGGCAGCAGAAGCTAGGAGCCATGTGGACCTGCTTTTCTGCCAGTCTTGAAATATTTTCTGAGAAACCATCTGCTTTTGTTCAGAAGAAAGTGCTGAACATCGTTCACAGACTTCTAGGTCTGTAAGCTCTTTAGGGGCGGGCATTATGATGACCACCGGCCTCCTGGAGGAGGGTTGGATACCTGTGGTGTGACACCTTCTGCCACCATCTCCTGCCGGGCCTCAGCCCTCGCCTGCCTGAGCAGGCCTAGTTCTCCTGTGAAGCTGTCAGCCTGATCTCATGCCACACTGTGAAATGAACTATGTGCCAGTTTGGAAATGATTGCTGACCTGAGATGCTGGCTGGGCTGCCCTGTTGTTCCTGAATAAGTCAGAAGAAGTTCCAGGTGGGAGTGGAATTCAGGTTTGGGGCTCGTTGGTATCCATGCAAAATATGACAAAGGCCTGTTCAAGAGGGCATTTTCAATTCTGTAGGCTCAGCAGATGATACTGCCCAGCCTTTGGGAAAATGTCCAGTTGGCCCCTGGCTTAGGACTCTCCACAAGGAGTTTGAAATGGTAGGGCTTATCCCCTACCAGACTAAAAGTATGGCCCAAATTATGTGTTTAGAATTTGCTTGGCCTTTAAACACGAACCATTCCCTATGCCTGGTAGAGACCATTCCAGTGTCAGTGTCCCACCTGGGACCTGTACAGTCCTCAGTAAATTATGATTGCAATGAATTAGAAGGCTTTTGCCTTCCATATCCATCATCCATTATAGCATCTGTGCTTCCACCTGGTTAGGGGGAGGGAAGCTGAAATCATTGATGTATCAATAGAAGTAATTTAGCTTAGGAACTTGCATCTATAACTTACCTTGTTTTGTTCCACTTTAAAGTCAAGACAAGAAAGTTAAGATAGCACACAGGTGCACATGCTTCCAGATGCCACATGTGAACATTTGTTGATCATGTGACTACCGATGACACTTTAGCTAGAAGATAAATTAAATCTTAGCTAAATCATTGTTTTTCCTTCTGGTGGCTATGAGGATGAATTTGCTCTCAGTCTTGATGCACTGAAAGCCCTTCAAACACAGTAAAAGATGAAATCACTCATCTTTAAACTGAGGCCTTCAGGGAAGCTTTTGTAAAGGACAGTAATGAATTAGGCTTTCAGTTTTAGGACATCAACCCTCCGAGAAAAGGCAGAAACCCGAGGGACCATTTATTTCCCTTCGAAACTGTATAGCCCAGGGAATGGATTGAGATGCTTTCTCCAGACCCTGTATAGGTCAACCTTGCAGAGGTAAAGGAGGAGGGGCAGGTGGATGAATAAAATAGGATAATGCTCAGCTTGGCAGTGGACTTGCCTTAGTGTGATGACAGGTCTAACATGGGCAAGACAATTAGAATGGGGACCAATATGCCAGGCATGGGCTTTTATCTCCCTAGTAGATCCCAAGCTAGTAGGCTTGGATTCTGCCAAATGGCCAGCCCTCCTGTCTTCTCCCCGTACCTTGTAGTTAGACCGAGGTGAGAATCCTGCTGACCCCAGTCCCATCCCCTCTCATTTCAGGAAAACCCTTTTGTGATTCAGGTAGGGGGAGAGGAGGAGTTAAGGGCTCCGTTTACTCCCAAGTCATGGATTTTTAATATTCCATTTTTATCACTAATATACCTCTCTTCCTAGAAGCTACTGGAGTATTGAGTGTTGTGGGAAAAGGCTAACTGTGAATTAAGTTAATGTTTTTCTTATAAGAAATGGAAGTTTATTTTTTTATTGATATTACTATGTGATGAACTGAGTATGCATATACTGAAATGGAAGGAAATTTTAAAACTATTATTCTAGAAGAAATGGGCAGTTTTGTAATTTGGTGGTGGCTGAGACCCCATAGAAGTTTTACTATGTAAATAATTTGGAGAGTGAATAAGGAGATTGTGCTATGAAATCCTGACAGCGCTCTTTAGGAGGCAGACTTGACAGTCCTAGGAAGGTTGACATAAAAATACCAACCTTCAGTAAAGCTCTAGTACAAAAAAGGGTAAATGTCATCATTCTTATTTTTAGGCCTCTTTCTTGAGAGAGGTGGGAGTGGGAGGTAGTGTTATAACTGGCACTTTAATTTGTTTTTGGAACTAGAATTTAGGGGCAGTTGGATGAAATTGCAAATTTAGAAGGGGAATAAGAATTTTCTAGTGCTATATAAAGAAATGATGATGGAGACAAAAGCCTTGCTTTCCTCTTTTTAGAATTTATTTTCGATTTTTAGCATACTGTGGGGCTTTTAGAGCTAATATGATCTAAATTCAGAAAATTTAATTTTCATAGTAGGCCAGGTGTGAATTACTTATGTTTGCTATAGAATGCTTATTTAGACTAACAATAAATTTACTTTGCTTTCTAAGGCCAGTCAGCGAATGTGGGGATGAGGCAGGATGTTTTAAATGAGCCAGAGATGATCCACAAAGTGAACAGTCGACACAGAGGTCTTTGAGTTGGATGGTTGCAAATATATTGACATTAGAGTGAAAACTCCTTCCTTTGGGTAAACTAAAGAAAGATAAAGTATACTAAAAAATTTTAAGATGGTGTTATACAAAAAAAAGTTTGGGTCTAACGTGTCCACAAAGACTGTCAAGTGAAGAATGGTGGAGATTCTTGGTGTTTGAGCAGCCAACCTGGATGAGTGACTTCAGGGACAGAGCAGAGGAAAGCAAAATGAATTTCCTTTATTTACCCAAAACTTGTTGACTGAATTTTTGTATAGGTCCGGGAAAATAAGCCTAAACAAATAGTTGTAGCCTTAGAAAAACTGTTTTCCCATTTCTTTCTGAGTTAGAATCAGCATAGCCTCCCTGTCGCCTTAAATGTAAAAATCCTATTTTGATTAATACCCCAGCCTAAGAGTTATAGCAATACGAGAGACTGAATCTATTTTTGTTTCGGGTCTTTACCTCATAGTATGAAATTAGTAAGACACTGCATAGATTTTGCCCTGAATACTGGTGTGCCCAGGTATGCCGTGCTCTCTCTCTGTTTCCAGTGGTGGTAATTTTAAGGCCTAAAGAAAGCTGGGGTTAATCCTGAAGCTAAAAGTAAATGTTTCTTGAATTGATTTTGTTCTGTGGTACAAATAACATCTATGAATATCATATCTGTATATATCTGAACCAAGTTGTGTGCAGAGAGGTTGATATAACTATATTTACAGAAAATGATTTTTACAATTAAAGTTCACATTTTAACATGAACGTGCGTGCTGCAATCCCTTCTCCAGTCCGAGAAATGTGGTTTGTGGTAGGAAGGAATGGTGGCCTACTCCATGAGCAGAGCCTGTGGGGGCTGAACCTGACTTCACTTACAGTGATGATGGAGGAGATTGGGGAGCTGCTACCTGTCCTTCTAGAAGCCACGGTCTGGACAAACTTTCTCCAGGTAATGGGAAACAAAGTTGGGAATAACTGCGCCACCCAGAAGAGCCAGGGCTGTGTACCCTTAATTACATCAGGAAACTTCTAGAATCCCACAGAGACCACCACCCTTTTACTTTACAAACTCTCTTATCAAAGTTCAGTTTAAAACTTTATGTACTTGATATATATTTGGTATATGTGTATATTCTAAACTTTTATTTCATTTTTAACCTCTTGGGGAGTTACAGTATGTATTTAGAACCGGTATAGAGTACATTGCTATCGGTGGCTCTGTAAATCAAATGGCCTGGATTCAAAGTCAGGTTCCTATTTTCTGTGCTATGTAACCATATATTATTACAGGCTGAGTATCCCTTATTCGAAATGCTTGGGACTTAGAAGTATTTTCAGATTTCAGATGTTTTAGGATTTTAGAATCTTTGCATTATAAATCCAAAATCCAAAATGTTCCACTGGGCACTTCCTTTAAGGATCATGGTGGCACTCAAAAACTTTCGGATTTTGGAGCATTTCAGATTTCGCCTTTTCAGATTAGGGATGCTCAACCTGTAGCTACTTCCTAGGGTTGTTGTGAGAACTGATGCATCAGTTACATATGTGAAGCACTGGCACTTAGGAAATATAACTGCATCCAGATATGTGCAAAACAGCTGTGAGGGAAAGGAAAAAAGCTTTATTTAAAACCCTATCTTAATAGAAAGCAACTACGGTTTTTTTTTTTTTTTTTTTTTTTTGAGACGGAGTCTTGCTCTGTCACCCAGGCTGGAGTGCAGAGTGGTGCGATCCCGGCTCACTGCAACCTCTGCCTCCCGGGTTCAAGCGATTCTCCTGCCTCAGCCTCCAGAGTAGCTGGGACTACAGGCACATGCCACCATGCCCAGCTAATTTTTGTATTTTTAGTAGAGATGGGATTTCACCACGTTGGCCAGGCTGGTCTCGAGCTCCTGACCTCAGGTGATCCACCTTCCTTGGCCTCCCAAAGTGCTGGGATTAATCTTTGCATTTGAGTGAAATTAATCTGTCAAAAAGTTTGTACTAAACAATCACCTGGGAAGGGTGGCCGACTTCCCAATGCAGATTCCTGGGCCCCATCCCCAAATTGGGTTATTAGGATCTCCTCCAGATAGCTCAGCATTCCAGCTTTGGCTGACAAGCCTCACTCAGCTGACTCTCTTTTAGTTGCACTATTAAACGTCTTCCATGCAGGCTTTATAGGGAAGGACAAGGCAAAGAACAAAGCAGTCAACAATAAGGAAACCAAGCCCTCACAGGAAAGAAAGCCTGAATCAAGAAAACAAAGTTTGAAACAAGGCATATTTATATTTAAAAATGAATAAGATTCTAAAGTGGCTTCCATATCCTTCCCTAATTATATGTACCATTATGATTAGAACCACAAAATGAGCACACATAAACACACACTGGTAGCCTATCAGAAAAGAAAGCCAGATTCTGCACTGGTCCTTGATATTGTTACAGAACCACGATATGCTAAATGCTCTCAGCTCAGGTGAAAACTTTTGTTTTCATATACTACAGCATCCTTCCTCCCTACCTGTGGGTGGTATGGGATGAGTGATCTTTATGCTGATGTTTGGAACCGTCTGTTATGTTTTTGCCAAAAGCAGAAATTTTACCACCCTGAAGAATACAGTATGAAATAAGAAAGCCTTCCTTTTTGTGATCTTCATTCATGGACTTTTCATAGCTGTTCTGTAATCTACTAAAGCATTGGTCTCTCTCCATGGGATGTGTGGGCATGGTGTATGTATCTTAAAAGGGATCTGCCTGAGAGAGAGCCTGTAGCTAAGGCCTGCCAGCTCTGCTTCCTCCCCTTCCCCCTCGCAATCCTCCCTCATTGATCTATCTTCCTGTGGTGCACTGCCCCCTAGAGTGTAAGAACCTCAGGGCCACTGAACAAAGGAAAATGTCAGCGATAGTAAAAGTAAATGGTGCTAATGACTGGCTGGCAAAGCCATGGTAAATCAGGTGGATTTCAGTTCTCTGCTTTCAACAGACTAAAGGAGAATCTAATCAAGTTGTTTGTTAGTTGATAGATCATCATTAATAATTCTTGATGATAGAGCACTGTGATCTTTGTCAAAATGCCAAAGGAATCCAAAGAACTGTAAAAACATTGTTAACGTAATTCTATTCCATCGAATTTATGTGCTTACATCTATACAGAAACAAGGAATACAGCTGAGGTTGAACCCCATCTCAGCTGTAAATCACATTCATGTATTCTTGGATAAATGAACTAATTAGGATAAAGAACATTCTAATAAAAAAACTTTTAATCATCCAAGAATTAATACCGTTTTCATTATATACCAATAATTAATTACGATAATATTGGTTCTGGACTGAGATAACAAACAAACACTTAAAGCAAGAGCTAAAAAAAAAATTTCCATTTATATTTTTTGTTGACAAGAAGTAATGGGGTGAATGATTAAAAGATGTCGGGCATAATAGATTACATTATGATAGGATTCTTGGCTGAAAAGTGGTATGGAAATACAGAAGGAGAAAAGCCAATTTGAAATGTTTAACTACTAAAGAACTAGCTCATTTATTTTTATAAATGAATGAAGGGTGTCAAATTGTTGTGATATTTAAATTGTACTGGATATGTTTAAAATAGTGATGTAACAGTTTTTATTTTAAAATACCAATATTTACACGACACCAGCAAATACATACTTTGTCAACTATTTAACTTCCCATGAAAAATTTTAGATACCAACTTAGATAAAATTTTAGATATCAACTTAGATGGGTGAGGGTATACATGATTTTTCAAAATACTTTTGGGGGCACATGAGCAGAATACTTTGTGGACTACTGCTTTAAAACACGATTTCTCCAAGTACAGTTGAGGGACAACTTACAGAATCACCTGGGAAGGGCAGATGACTTTTTAAAAATGCATATTCCTGGGCCCCATCCCCAAATTTGGGTTATTAGGTTTGGGGTAGACCCCAAATAAGTTTTCAACATGTACCCCAGGTGGCTCTCATGCAAACCATTTAGGAAGCACTACTTAAAAAAATAAATAAAAACTAGCATTTTCCGGTATTGTAGCCGTGGCTGAAGAGGGAAACAACCTCACATATGTTTCTGGACTGAGGTTAGAACTGAAATAAAAGCTAAACAGGAGCCGGAGCTCACAAAATAGCAGCACCTGTGGAGGAGCCTAGACATAGGAAAAGGTCACCAGGGCAGGAATGCACTTTCCTGGAATTCCTAGCACGGTCAAAGAAGAGAAATGGAAGGGCCTAGGCAGGCTAAGCCCACCGTGGGCTCTCCACTGTGGTTGCACTTTGGAAGAAAACAGAAGAAAGTCCTTTTCCGTCTTGAACCAGCCTGAGGAAAGTCCGTGTTTAGGAGGGCCAACCGTCACACCAAAATAAAACATGCGCTAATGGAAGCCGATTGCAAAGCAGGTGACAGAGCACACTTTGGGAAGCACTGCTGGAGTGGGGGCAGAGGGGTACTTGCCATGAAAATGCCCTGGGGACCCTCTGACGACACTGTTGGGATGGCTGAGGCACCTGTTCCCTTTTGGTCCCACCGGTGGCCTAAAGTGTGGTCTCAGAGTGCTTGTCTTCTGCTGCTCACTGGGTGGGGCTTGTGAGCATCTGTTCTCTCTTCCTAGGATCACAGAAGAACTGCAGCTTCCTGGGGAGCAGTTTCACCTCCACAGGCATCGCTTCATACTCCTCACTGTCAATGCTAAAAGAGCCCCCTGCTCCCTGGGGAGAAGAGAATATTCAGAACAGCTCAAACACATCAGTGGCCTACTGGAGTTGGAGGTCTCACAGCAGCACCAGAAGAAGTTCATTATGGAAAACAACATCCTCTCTTGAGGAGCTATCCTAATGTTCTTTTACAAAAAAAAATTCAGTGCCTACTACGATGGGCACAGTGCTGGTTCTGGAAACATCCTAATTCTACCATCCATGAAAAAGGATTTATTTTCTTTTTTTGGCCCCTATCTCCTCCCAGAGTATTTTGGGATTTGAACAACATGGTTATAATTTTCAAATATGTATTAAAAGGCAAGGGTCCTGCCATGTCTTAAGGAACTCATATACATAGTCTTTCTATATTATGCTAATCCTTCTCAAATAAAAATAAAGACAGCTAATTCTCTTATGACATGCTATTGTATCTGCTGGATCATTTTCATTATTCTCTAAGACTTGTTTAGCTTGATATACCCAAGGTGTATCAACATTAATATCATTACAGTCTATGAAACCCTTCCATAACTCATGCATTTAATTCAATATTTATATCGAAACTGTGACGCCAGTCACTATGGGGATACCTTCTGTTTACCTATAGTCTTGTCTGAATACAGTAATATATGGCCACATGTCTTCAAAGGCTATATGAAGAGCCTCCTTTTTTTCCGTATTGACAATTGAATAACCTCCCAATTCCAGATTCTATTTCCAATTTTTTTCACTTACATAGGTTATTCTAAGCATGGCATTTCATAATACAGAAAAATTCAGTGTTGAACTGAAAACTGCTTCCAGATCCTTTATAAAAAATGTTAAAGTAAAAGCCACTATTAACATTTGCCAGCTAGACAATTCTCTATGTGTCTTAATGTAGTAACCTTCTGCATTATTTACATATGGAAAAATAAAAGGAGACCTAAAACTCACTTTAGGGAAGAACCTTGGTTCGAAAACGATGGGAGTCTTCAGAAGTCCAACTCTAAATCCATGACTCCCAAGGAGATTCTGCCATCCTTTTCAGCTCCCCGCTAATATGACCCAGAGCCTGGCAAAATGCTTGGCACACAATATGTGCCTAAGTCTAGGTCAGCTAACAGAGAGGAAGGATGGGACACCACAGAGGGGCAGGCCGATGACGAACGAATCAAATGCTGTGACTACCGACCCCTTCCCCACTCACCTCCGGGATAAGCAAAGTGCACTGGCTGGCTTGGAGACACTCCGTGCCCTCCACGTGCAGCTTGGGGTTTCTCACCTTTCGACTTCTGTGAGCACAGGAAAAAGCAAGCTTAAGACCAGTGATGGCAACTGCACTAGGTTGCAACAATGTAGCAACTTCTTTCCCCCTTTTTATGAGCTTACATAAGTGGACAGATGGTCTATTAAGCCATAGAATTCTGTAAATAATTTTTCCAACAGTGATTCTTGCTTAGCCTTGTGATACATTCTAGACTGAAAGTAGAGAACTGGGCATGAAGTTATGACTTTCTCTGAAATGCTCTTAATTTGATTTAAAAATTGATTGATTTAAAAATAATCATTCCACATGTACCTAATTCTTAGATTGTTAGTCTCAAATTTAAAAATTAGAATGAAATTCTTTAGGAAAAGTACTAAACGTCTGGTATTTGGTACTTCTTGTGATTACTTGAAGGATAAAATATTTTTACTTTAATGTAGATATTTCTTTTATGTATATGAACAACTAGTCTTAGAAGTTCTCTGATAACCCTTCCTATCTGTGGGTCCCACTCCCGTGGATTCAACCAACTGAGGATAGAGAATACATATTTTTGCACCTGTACTGAATCCGTACAGACTATCTTATCCCCTAGAGAATACAGGACAGCAACCATCCACATAGCATTTACATTATATTGAGTATTATAAGTAATCTAGAGATGATTTAGTGTGCATAGGGAGGACGTGCCTAAGTCTATGCAAATACCGTGCCACTATATAGAAGGGGCTTGACAACCTGTGGATTTTGGTATCTGAGGGAGGTCCTGGAACCAATACCCCAAGGATACCGTGGGATGACTGTATTTATAACGCGGTCTACTTGGCATACAATATCTACCTTGACTGAGTGACTATGGAGTAAAATTTCCAGCGCATATACAGACACACACTCCACCTCATGCAGATGTATCTTTTAGGCAGTGGAAATACAGTAAAAGCTAATCTAAGTAAATCAGTCCATTTATCATTTATTAACAACAGTAACTCTACAAAACGGTATCAGAGTTTTCTAACGCAGCTTCACTATGTTCTCTTCAGATATCCAGAGGAAACAGACATTACTTGATTTCACTTCCTGTAGAGAACAGAAGGACACTGGCTGCCACTGGTGCTAACAATGCAGAACATAGTGGCTTCGCCTAACCTTAGCAATAGAATTGGGGTCTCTATTTCTGGATACCAGTATCATAAAGGAGATTTGAATATTGCTGGTCTCACTGGCCAGACTGTCAATGAAGATTGTGTGATTTCTGGACATTCTGTAGAAGGAACAGGATTTTCCCTTCTTATAGATACAGCAAGAAAATCAAAGGCTGCAGAATCAGCTATTCAGTCTCTGAAGAATTTATGCCAAAGGCAAGAACAACAAACTTATGTGCCTGTGTAGATAATGAAGTAGCCATGGAGACCAGGCCGCTGCAGCAGAAATGTGTGATCCCTAAATGGGCACGAGAGGGAGCTCTGAGACAAAGCACAGAAAAGCGGAGCTGAGCAGATTACCAGTTGGCATGGGAACACACCAGCTCCTCAGATGCCCTGAAGGAGGATTTATAGTGTTCTTTACCAATAAAATTCTGGCAGAGGTAGGACTTAACAAATCACAGAACTTGGAAGGGTATTCTGTATTGGAAAAGGGAAAAAGGCCTGGGAAATGTCCAAGGTACTCAATACCTTTTCCAGTTTTTCATGAAGGCCCTGGGAATAGGAGGACATGGTGAACTGACATAAATAGTAATGGATACTGTGAAGTGCTTCAAAATATAAAAAGGCTTGACACACATTCTCTTACTCAAGGCTGAAAGCCAGTCCTGAGATCGGCAGAGATGATTATTTCATTCTGTAGACGGAAAGAATTCAGAGATGCTAAATGATCCGAGTCATGACGTCGGGTAAGTGGCAGAATCAAAATTTGCATTCAGCTCTTTGACCCTGAAACCAAAGTTCTTGACGCTGTGTCATGCTCCATTGAATTCTTTGGTTTCAATTGAAAAACAAAGACTGCTCTTACATTCTGATCCCCACAAAATGAACAGTGATGGCCAGCATAGGAGAGGGGCACTCTACATGTCAGCCCATAGGAAAGAAATAACATCGAAATTCCCAAACAAGACAAGGCTTTGGCTGGATTTCTGTCTTAGACTTCATGGGGCACTCTGAATAGTAAAATCTGAGAAAATCACAAGCCTCATTTCCTGTGAACCCCAGTCCACTTACCCTATAGTTATAAAGTCTCCTTTGCTGATGGTGTCAGGTTCAATGCAGATATTCAGAAAATCTTCTTTGCTCTAAAAAGGTTAAGAACACTAACGTCATTACTCTTAAAATTTGGCTAATGCAGCCTGTTGTCATCCTCAGCTTTGATGGTTCATAGTTTGAAGCTATATATAGATAGGGGACTCTACTTGTAGTGATTTAATTCCAAACCTATTTTCAATCTTTTTTTTTTTTTTTTTCACAAAGAGCTTTACTGAGGTATAATTTATAGAAAATTCATCTCCATTGCTTGGCTTTTTTTTTTACTACATAAGCAAACAAAACTCAGAGTGGGAGGTTCTGGACGTTCTGTCACTCACTAGTAATTATTAGCCGTTCTAGTCTCTAGGATTACTTCCCTTGCAGGCCAAGCTTTCAGCCCATCCCAGCAATCTCAGTGTTCACTGTACATGAGCTTCACATGACAGCATGGAATCGGCTGCTTGGTGTGGAGAGCCCAAGTGCCTGTGCTTCTTTAATGCTCTACATACAAATTTGGTGTGCAACCAGAGTTGGAAAACAGCAATCCGTTTATTCTATGGTAATGTTTAAAAACTTTCCATTTCCAGCCACAGAAAGCTCTGGATGATTTGAGCTACGACAAAATGGCTATCAAAACAGACTTGGTTCTTGGACCAGTTCCCATAATTTGCTACCAGTCAGTGACTAGCCATACAAACCTAGCCCTCTGTAAATCAATCCCACAACTTCTATGTCAGCTTCAAATAGAGGTCTTGTTTCTTTTGGGGTAGGTTCAAAATGTTCAGGCCCAGGATTTGAGGCCTCTGAGAGCCTTAAAGCCTTTGCCTAAGATTAAAGGGTAACTAACAAAGAACTCTCAACTAAGAATTACAAAACATAAAGTGGATGACTTTGAAAGTTCACCTTTTATTTAACTACTTACTGAGTGCCAGTCATGCACCATGAACCCACGGAGCTTGGGTTACACCAATGAACAAAACCCACATGACTTTCTGCCTACAAAGAACTTACTTTCTACTGTAGAGACTGGAGGGAATAGATGGATCATAGTAAATTATAAACTCTGTTAGAAGATAAGGATGCCACAACTATATTAGAGTTTATTAGAAAATAAGATCAAAGAAGCAGAGCAAGGAACATGAGGTGGCGCTGATGGCAGTGGCTGTGTTATGAAAAAGGGGGTCCCGTGGAGAAGCCTTGGAGAGGAGGCCTGAAGGAGGTGAGGGAGCCGGCGATGTGGCCACCCAGGGCAGTGGTTCTCAAACTTTAGCAGGTGCCACTGTAGAGCAGGTAACATTCAGACTCTGGTTTTTGTTTGTCAACTAAAAAATAAATAATTTTTGGCCAGGCGCGGTGGCTCACGCCTGTGATCTCAGCACTTTGGGAGGCCGAGGCGGGCGGATCAGCCGAGGTCAGGAGTTCGAGACCAGCCCGGCCAACGTGGTGAAACCCCGTCTCTACTAAAAGTACAAATACTAGCCGGGTGTGGTGGCGGGCGCCTGTAATCCCAGCTACTCGGGAGGCTGAGGCGGGAGAATCGCTAGAACCCAGGAGGCAGAGATTGCAGTGAGCCAATATCGCACGATTGCACTCCAGCCTGGGTGACAAGAGTCAAACTCCGTCTCAATCAATCAATCAATAAAAATAATTTTTTTTTAACTCAGACTCTGGCCCCATCCCAAGTTTCTGGTTCAGTAGATCTGGGGTGAGGCCCATGAATTTTCATCTCGAGCAACTTCCATGTGATACTGATGTGCTGATCTGAGAACTGGACTTTGAGAACCCCTAATCCGGGGATGAGCAATCCACACAAGGGGAACTACTGGGGCGGAGGCCTTCAGGTGGTGCTGGGGGAACATGTCTGACAGCAGGGAACAGCAAGGAAGCCCGTGTAGCTGGAGCAGAGCGAATGACAGGGGCAACAAGTGAGGAAGACAGGGAAGAGAGGAGCTACATCAGCAGAGCCTCATAGACCATGGCGAGGAAGCTGGCTTTTAGGCTGAATGAATCAGAGAGCCACTGGAGGGTTCTAAGGAGGGAAATATGTTCTGGCTTCATTTCAATAGGATCACTCTGGCTGCCGTGTTGAGAATTAAGACAGGAGTAGATTGGAGAGGGAGACAGTGGGCTAGGAATTAACATTATAGATAAATGTGTAAGAACGGCCCAGGGTTCAGGAGCTCCCAGGAGCAATGATCTGCTCTGACAATAGGACATTGAGAGGTGGGGCTGGGTGGGGGGGTAGTTAGAGAGGAGGAGGAAGAATGGGTTAAAGCAGTGATGAGTCAGGAGGACAACCACCAAGTCACCAGGCCCAGCATACAAGGGGAGGAAAAGAAAGAAAGCACAGCCACTGCTTAAAGACTGTGGGAAAGGCAAAACTCAGGGGAGAGCCACACTTCAGCTAGAACAGGGTCGGGAAACATTTTCTGTAAAGAGCCAGAGAGTGAACACTGTAGGCTTGCAGACCATGAGGTCTCTCTCACAGCTATTCAACTCAGCCATAGTAGCTGAAAGCAACCAGAGAATATACTCAAATGAATTAGCCTGCCTGTGTTCCAGTAAAATTTGACTTAAAGACACTGAAATTTGAAGACAATTTCCACACGTAACGGGGAAAAATACTCTTCTTTTGATTTTTTTCAATGATTTAAAAATGTAAAAAATATTGTTAGCTTCAAGGCTGTACAAATACAGGCAGCAGGATAGTCGGGCCTGTGGGCTGTCCTTTGCTGACCCCTGTTCTAAAGCTTTGTTCTGGAGGCACAATTAAGTTACCTAGAAAGAAACTGTGGTTCTTTGGAGGTGAGCCTTTAGCTTTGTTAACAGGGAAGAGGGCAGCCTTTAGTCTAGAATTAATTTTGACTCACTACTGAGGCAATACCTTTCTGAGGACACTACCCAATGCCCCATGTCTGAAGAGGATTTTCTACTCTAATTGGTTTGAACACGAACTATTCCTGGCTTTGTGAGAGGACTGACTCTCCTGAGACTGTCCCGCCTGCTCACTGGTAGGTAACTCAACCTCTATCTCGGGTGGTGGTTTCTCACATGCATGCACCTGTCAGTACTCAGCTGAAGATTCCAGAGGACACCTCCGTAAACCTCTAGCTTGGTTCTGGGTGCGGCTCTCCTCTCCATGGGGCTCTCTTGTATCCTGCCTTGCAATTCTAGCTGCCTTGATTTCTCAAATTCTCAAAGACCCCTCAACTGAGGTAGGGCATGGGCTCTGTGTGGGCTCCCTCTCCGCAGGCTGTGGCCTCTCTCCAGCAGTCACCTCGGGCAAGCATCAGGCTCACTGTGTTCAACTTCTTGCTCTCTGGACTCACTGTCCTATGCTGCTTGTCTCATACCAATGTCTCATATAGTTGTTTCAAAGATTTTGTCCAATTTTTAAGGTGTTTAAGGTATAAAGCTGGTGCTTTTTGCTACATCTTGGCCAAAAGTCTCACATTAACATTCAAAAATCAATTCATTTTATTGCTTTGACAGATTAAATGAGGAAACTTTATTATCTCAATAGATGCTGGAAGAGTACTTGATAAAATTAAATATCTAAGATATTTAACATGAAAGATAAAAATGCTTAGCAAACTGGGAATAGAAAGGAACTGCCTTAATCTGATAAAGGGTGTCTATAAAAAAAGAAAGCACATTAAATACAAGCATGAAGCAATGAAGACTTTCTCTCTAAATCAGAAATAAGAAAGACGATGGGGACTCCTGTTACTGCTACTTCTATTTAACCATGTACTGAGGTCCTATCCAGTGCTCTAAGTAAAATGAAGGATTGTAAGGATAAGTATTTGAAGAGAGAAAACAAACCTTGCACTATTTGCATTGGCCATGACTAAATCTGTAGAAAATTTGAAAGAATTCATTGAAAGAAAGTTAGAATAATTAATAATAATTTAATTAGGTTGCTGATTCAGCATTGATATAAAAATCAATTATATGTCCATCTACTAAATCAGGTAGAAAATGAAATTTTAATAGATATTATTTAGAATAGCATAAAAATTAAGATAACTGGGAATATATCCAGCAAAAGACAGGATATTCCAGAGAAAACTATAAAACTTCATTGAAAGACATTGAAGACCTAAATAAATGAAGAGATATACCCCGTTCATATGCTAGAGGAGTCAATATTGTAGAAATGTCATTTCTCTCCAAATTGATCTATGGGTACAATGCAGTGAGATCAATATTATAACATTTTTATGTGGAATTTAATAAAATAAACATTCTAAAATATTTATAGAACTCAAATGAGCTAAGAATAGCCAAGAGACTGTGTAAAAAGAGAAAAACATAGAACTTATTATAAAACTATAATAAGAGAAGCAGAGTATTAGTATAAATATGAGAAAATGGAACAACAATAGAAGAAAGAGACTAGAAACATTTACATGTATATAGACATGATGTATGGCAGAGGTTTATTGAAGATCAATGGGGGAAAATGGAGATTTCAATAAATGGCGCTTGGACAACTGGCTTTCTATTTGGAAAGAACATAAAATTGGAGCTTTACCTCCATCATTCACAAAACTCACTTATAAGTGGGGGTATTTCCTTTTTAAAGAAAAATGGAACTATGTTGCAAATCTTTTCACCTATTTTTCCCATGTCAATAGATAGAAAATAATACATATATAAAATAGATATGACTTTTAATAAATGTACCAAAATTTATTCAGTCTGATTAGTTCATTGCAAATATTTTACTATTATACAGTGAGCATAGTTGTATAAGAGATCCTAATTTTCACACATTCTATACTCCTACAGCTTCTTTCATACACTGAATGTGCTGCTTTTAATAAGTGAACATTTTGAGCTATTACACGGCAGCTACACTGCCTTTATTGTATTGCATTTGCTTTTATTTTTATAAAGAACTGTGCAAAAACGAAACAAATGAATTTGCTGCTACTAGTGATAAGCGGCACAGTATCGTATACTTTTAAATAGGCACAAAGATAAAAAGCACTTGGCATTGTGAGTGTGGCTAATCTTGAGCGCACTCACATACTCACTGAACTCAATCCATTCAGTGGTACTCAGTCATCAGAGAAAAGAACAATGGTAAAGAACATGAATAAAATACTCGGAATACATATTATTAAAGACTTGGTATAAAGGAGATGTATAATTAGACATTTTATCTTTCTCTTTTAAATTCCTCTGGAACAGAATCTATTTTTTTTTTTTTAGCATTCACATATCCACTTTCACCAGTGTTTTTCAGATTTCCATTATGTAAAAAAGGACTGCCTACATTATATATTCATCAGGTTATTCCAGTAGGATAAATTCCTAGAAATACAGTTAATAGGGCAGAAGGTATGCATATATTTTAGACACTTTATGTATACTATGCCAAATTGCTGAGACAGGATGTTCCAATCTATATTCCCATCAGAAACACACACCACCACTAAGCTTTTAATCTATAACATGCTTTTTAGTCATGACAATTCAATCTTACTATTTTAATTTGCATTTCTTTGCTGAAATCACTCTGTCTCCTTACCTACAAAATGCAGATAAAGATATCTACCTATAAGGATTACATAATATTATGTAAAATTCTTAGGACAGGTGCCTCACATGTAGTAAATAATCAGCAAATATAAGCTATTTTTTCATATGCTTATTTCTTTTATGAATTTTCTATTCTTACCCCTTGCTCACTTTTTATATTAGTCCTTTGCCCATTTCTCATTGCTTTATCCTAAGAGCTTGTTAAAAGGAAAGTGAATTCCTGGTCTATCACATGCTAATATTTTTCCCAATATGTCATTTAAAAGTTTGTTTAGAATGTCTTTTTAAATAAAAAGACAAATGCATCAATATGATTTTTGCCTTAAATGTCATGCTTAGAGAGGCCTTGTCCTCCTTAATTTTATACTGATAATCACTTAGATTTTACCCTAATACTTTTTTTTAACTTCAAACTTCTATTTTAAGTTCCGGGATACATACACAGGAGGCGCAGCCTTGTTACATAGGTATAAACGTGTGCCATTTACCCTACTACTTTAATGATTTTATTATTTTACATTTAGTTCTTTAATCAAACTAGAATTTTTTTTATAGGGTGAAGGGAGCTATGTTTTCCAAATGTTTTGCAATGGACATGTATTATTTTCATAGTTAGAAAACATCTCAATACTCTGAACATTAATATTAGAATCAAACTTATCACTCTATTAATATTGGAATCAAACTTTTCACGACATTCCAACTCCATCTGCTAATTTTCAGACTGGCCTAGACAACTGTGAACAGACTAATTTGCATACAAGCTGAATGTAATTAGTCCACAGTTAACAATTACTTTCCTATTGGCATTCTCATTGATATAAATTACCAAGGTTTTCTCTATACTAGGGTCAGTAAACTTTTTCTGTAAGTGACCAGATAATAAACATTTTAGGCTTTGGGCCATACAATCTGTCACAACTACTCAGCTCTCCCCTGTAGCACAAAGGCAGCCACAGACAATATATTTGTGAATGAATATGGCTGTGCTCCAATAAAACTTTATTTATGGATACTGAAACTTGAACTTTACGTATTTTTCTGTTCACAAAAATTATTCTTTTGATTTTCTTTGCATCATTTAAAATTAGAAGATTCTTGGCTTCTGGGCTATATAAAAACAGGTGGCAGACCAGTTTGCCAATGCCTGCTTTATTTCAATACTTTTGGGTGTGTTGTCTATAGTAGCACCACCCAACAGAACCTTCTGCACTGACGGACAGGCTGTATACCTGTGCTTTCCAGTATGATGGCTACTAGCTACATATGGCTGTTGAGCACTTGAAATGTGGTGAGTGTGACTTAGGAACTAAGTTTTGAATTTTATTTAATTCTAATTAATTTAAATTTAACTAGCCACATGTGGCTAATAGCTACCGTATGGGATAGTGCATACCTATAGATTGGGCCTAAATAAATAATATGTAGATATAGATACAGATGTATGTGTGTGGGTATTTTTCTCCTGAGGATCTAATTTGACATATTTAGTACAGTCACAAAAATCGTGGATATTTACTCAACTAAAAGTTCCACAATTTTTTTCCAGTGACAAATGGGAATAGCTAATTTTCATTTCTAAAGCCCTCTTGCCCTAAGTTCTCTGAATGCCAATTAAGCAATGAGCAGAACATGTAATCAGAGCCCCAGAAGCATTTATGCCACTCCTGCAGGTGGCAGCTTCTCCTCATTGCTGTTATTCCTTAAAGGCACACCACATCCTCTTTCTCCTGACACTGCCCTCTCTATCTCCACAGGGTAAAAATAAAAATAACTGAATTAGTGGGAGAGGACTATAGCTATTGTCACTTTTCTTAGGTACCAAATGCTTTTCTAATAAAAAAGCACACTTACTGTCGGGTCAAGCTGATTATTCCGTGTTGTGATGGACAGTTCAATGGTGGACAGCTGCACATCTTTCCAGACCTCCGGGCTCACCTCTTGGGAAAGGGCTGTGGGAATCCATTAGATACAGGTCAGTTTCTTCCATTAACATTTCACCACCCACCACGGACGGCTAGCTGCTAGCTGCTCAGCTCAGCTTCTCAACCTTTCTGCTGACTCTGCCTTCATTTTATTTATTTCATGCTTCTTATACATAGAGGTAAAAATGGCATCTCTGTGCCTAAAACATCACTACCAAAAGCAGTCACGTTAACAGAAAGACTGTGCACAGAGACTGCTATGCCCATTGATGGCACATTGCTTGGGCCTGCTCTGGTGGCACACAGAAGGATGAATTCAGTGATCCCTGAGAGGCTTCTCCTGCTCTAGTTAAGTCTCTAAAACTGATTTTGGAGGTCTACTTTAGGGCACTTCTAAACTGACCAGGGCCCTCCAATCTTTAGTCGCCACATTGCTCACCATCCTGTGGTTGTGCCCAGTAGGACGCAAGCCTTCGTAATATTCTCCTGTACAAAGAAGGCCTTTGTACAGGGGTCTCCTCTGGTTCATTGGGAGGTCTCTCTGTAGGTCCCGTGTATGAGATAGAGGCTTGATGAGTCTGAGGCCACTCCTTTTAATGTGGAGAGAGAAAAATTTTGTTATGCATGTACAATTCCACTCTGGGAGTTTCTCTCTGCAAAAGTTATTTATTTGTCTACCTATACCTGCTAGAAAGTGAACTAATAATCTCCTCTCACTGGATGGAATGCTAGTTTGGAGCATGGAATCCTCAAGCTTTCTTTTCCTCTTAAAGCTACATCTTAAAAACCATGAATTCAGCAAGTACTGCCTCCATTGCTCCCCCTAAAATTGGCTAACCACCACCATTTACATTTGTCCAAAAAGAGGGTGAATGAACATAGGGTCATCCGTAATAAATTTATCTTTGGCTTACAGATGGTGATGCAAAATGAAACTGAGGAAATCCAGTTGCATCAAGTACCTACCTCACTTCTGGAATCTTATTCCACACACAGGCCAGAATGGTTTAGCCCAGGCTCACAATCCAGCCCAAGGCTTCTCACTTCTGCTTCAAAGCCCATCACCCTCACACTCTAATTTTTTTTGTCTTCTATGTCCTGGCATCCCAAGTCCAGTGTCACCCTGGATCACATCCTGACCGCATGAATGAATAAAACCATACCCCAGCCTCTCAGCCCTTGACATCACCTCTGATTCACCACATCCACCCATTTCCATGGCCACATCCTGGCCCCTAATGTCACCCAGAACTATTCCACTTTGGAAATCTAAAACCCTGAGATCCTGCTCTCTAATCACATCCCATATTCTTCTGGTTGATTCTTTTGTGCCCATTGTGTCTCTTAGGGTGAAATGCTTCCCTGTTCTCAAGTTTCCAGGTGGTGAATTACAAAGCAGTAGCAACACTGGCTTCTCTCACTCCACTGCTTACTCACTCCTCCCCAAGTCTAGAAGGACCAATGCATGGATCCAGCCCTTTCCTTTCTCTCTGACAGCAGCTGTCCTTGTCTCAAACGGTCACTGCTTCTAATTTTCATGTGGTGAAAATTAGCTTCTTGTGGTGGTCTCTGCCCTGAAGGAGCTGTTTCAATGGACACCTTTGTTCACAGTATTAGGAGATCAGATAGAGACCACGTATCTGTGCTCTGTCCTCCACTCCTGCTGACATTTATAAAGATGACGTTTTGATCTTCATCTGCCTAGTTCCTGCATTTGTTTTCATACCTTGGTTCAAACTAAAAAGAGGAAGAGAGGGGTTTTATTGTGGGCCCCTGAAGACCTAACTGCACCAAGTTTTCAATCACATTGAGGATTCTACTCCCTGACCACTCATTTTCCCCTCAGTGCCAAACTGATAGTCAATTACTTTCAAGTGCTTTCTTTTTCCACTTACTCTTGGCTTTCCTGTGTCTTTATTCTTCTACAATATGTCCTAAAAAGCCCCAGTTCTGGATCAGCCTTGTCATTAAGTTCCTGTACTCTTACATCATGGCTCAGTATTACTAGAGAAGAAAATGATACTCCTGCTGAGTATTAATACAGGGAAAAGCAGTCACCCAAAGGAGCATTCATGTCTACAAATTGTTAGCCTCAGGTCTTCAGTGCTACTTGATAATCCTAAGCCTCCTCCTACATTCATCTTTCTTCAGGATACCCCATACCACTACTCACCACCTTTCTGACAGGATCACTTTGCTTCCTACACTTCAGTGAGAATATCAGGGACATCAGTGAGAATACCTTAACTTTCTCTAATCTCATTTTCATCTGGACCTACCCTTTACTCCTCTTCTGTATCAATGAAAAAAGGTGCCCCTTGTCCTGTCCAGGGACAATCCAGTACTCTGGATCCCACGCCCTTCTACCCGCTCTTGGATTTTGCCAATTCAGTCATGCTTTCTGTCTCCCTTCTCACCTCCTCACATTCTTTTCTTTTTCTTCAGTCTAGAAACACATGGATATTCTCCACTTTTAAAAATTCCATATTGACCCCATGTTTCTCTCAGCTTTTGCCTTCCCTATCTCCTTCTCTTCAAAGTCAGGTTTCTTGAAGGAGTAGCGTGTCCTTGCTGTCTCCACTTCTTTACATCACTTTTATTTCTTGACTTTCTTCAGTCTGGCTTCAGCCACCACACTTTGGAGGCTGCCCAGCTTTTGGAGGCTGCCAAATTCGATGGATACTCTCTTGTCTGTATATTTAAAGTCTTTGCTTTTGCTTCTCGAAACTCTTACTTTTTTCTTGAAATTCTCTCTTCTATTGGCTTCTATGTTAGTATTCTCTCCTGCATTTTCTCTTAGCACTTCTCAGTCATTTTTGGTGGTTCTTTAAATGTTTATGTCCCTTAGGGATATTCCTGGCCATCTGTACTCAATGGTAATTTCACCCAACCCATGGTTTCAACACCGCTCACACACTTATGACATTTGAATCTGTTTCTTTAGTCCAGACCTCTCTGCTGAATTCCGACCTAAATCACAATTGTATCTTTGCTTGTCTGTACCACAGGTATGTTAAACTCTACATAGATTAAACTGAAAATTTCATCTCTCTTCACAAACTTGATTTACTCTAGTATTACCAACATCAGTGGAAAACTCCAGTTACCAAACTCTAGTCCCTCATACCAGAAATCTGATAATCCTACATTCTTCTGACTTTTGAGGTTCTAACTTAAGAGTTCTTTAATCCATCTTCTATTGTCAATACTGTTACCTCCTTAGTCTATACGTCACTTCCCACCTGACTACTTTAACAACCTTCTATCTAATGTCCTTGCCTTGAGCTACCTACATCCTATCTGTTTTTCTGTTTAGAAAAAAACAATTTTTCTAAAATGCAAATCTGCTCATTTCATGCCTCTGCTCAAGACTCAATAACTCCCCATTGCTTTAAGGATAAAAGTCAAATTGCACATCAAAACCCGCCATAACCTGCCCTTACCTAACCCACTGGCTTCACTTCCTGCCATTTTACTGCATTAATCATAATTAAGGGCCATGTCACACCACTGTGACTTCACACAGCCTTTAAATGTTTCAAAATTTAGTGTGTCTCCTCTGCTGGGAAGATTTTCTGACCCTCATTAGATTTAGATGCCCCTCCTCTCTGCTCCCTTCTTAATCTTTCTATCTTTCTCTCACAGCACTTGCCAAACTGCTGATTTACTTACACTTCCCTCCCAGCATCTGAATACTTCTTGAGGGCAGGAAACCTGTCTCATTTGACTTTGTATCCCAAGCATATGTCAACTATTGTTTGCTGAATAAATAGTGGCAACAGTTTATATTCCATTTAAATATGTAGCTACTCTATTTCTTCCTAAATGCACTCACAACTCCACCAATGAAACTCGAGGAATAACCGATTTTACTAATCCAGTTTGCCCTTGGTATATAAAGACCTTGCCCTGCAAAGTTCATTTTTAAAATCACATACATTTACTTCTAGTAGTTCAGTGATTTTAGGGTTTTACATTTAATTTTTTAATCCAGCCAGAATTTTTTTAAAAGGTAAAGGAAGCTATGTTTTCCAAATGTTTTGCAAGGAACATGTATTACTTTTATAATTAGAAAAACATTCAATAACTCTGAATATTAACATTGGAACCAACCTTCTCACTACATTCAAACCCCATCTGCCAATTTTCAGATTGGCCAAACTATCAATATACCACTTTGATTTGCATAAAAGCTGAATATAGTCTGTAGTCCACAGTTAAAGATGACTTTTCTATTAGCATTTTCACTAATAAAAATTGTTAGGCTTTTCTCTATGCCAGTATTTTTTATTGTATCATATAGAGTAGCAGTGCCCAACAAAACTTTTTCTGATCATGGAAATGTTCCATATCTATACTCTCCAATACAGTAACCACCGCCCATATTTAGCTGGTACAGTTTGAAACCTACTGATACAAACACAAACCTGTACAATTAGATATTATATATTCAGATACAAATCTTCAATTCATTTCCAGGTACTAACATAGACAAGCATAAAATAATCGCTGAAGAATATGTCATTATGTTCAAGGTCTGTCGGGCAAGAGAGTGAATTAATAGCAAAGGCAAGTAGAATGCTTAAGAGAGATTAAATATGGGTTTGGTAGTAGAGGGAATGAATTGGTAGATAAAGGGTGATTGCTTATCAAAACAGGAATGCGTTCTATATTTGTATTTAATCAAACATGCCCTGTTTTAGTGTTGAAGCATGCCACATTCATCTGTAGCAAGGAATTAAAAAAAAATACCAAATATATGCATTACAGAGAAACAACAAAATAACACAGCAAATTTCTACACTGTAAATCACATTTACCTTAAGAGTGCTGAAAAAGTGGGCTGCTTTGATTTTTAGAGGCCCAAGATACCAGTACCTGTGAAAAGACCAAGATAAAAATCTGATAAGAATATCAAAAGAACTATCATGTGATAGATACCATTCATGGCAGACAATACATTAGAATTACATCTCTGCTATGAGTGGCTATTCTGGTAGCTAGGAGGTTATGGCTTAGTATAAAAGAGTATTACATTCAATTTTAAATCCACGTTTTGATGCCTTGTCAAGTTATATGTAATTAGTTACGCAGTAAAGATTCTTGCAATTTATGAGAGATATATAACCAGGCTCCTTGAGTCACTAAATTCACAACATCCTTTAAACACATCCTTTAAGCCATAGAATACAGTTTGGTATAGAGTTGTCCCTCAGTCCAAAGTCTGCAGATGTTCAAGTCCCGGATATAAAATGGCATATTTGCACGTAACCTATGTACATTCTCTTGTATATTTTAAATCATCTCTACATTGCTTATAACACTTAATACAGTGCCTACACATCACTTTATTTGCACGGATTCAACACAGTACTCGGTGTGCAGCCAATTCCAGTTTTGCTTTTTGGAATTTTGTGGAATATTTTTTTCCCCAAATATTCTCTATCTGCATTTGTTTACATCTATGGATACAATGGGTCAAGTGTACGTTCAAAAGAGCTATGAGTAAAGGATGATACAGCCACACTAAGATGCAAACACTGCATGCTCTGATGTGCTGATCCCAAGCTAAATGACTAGATCCTGTACACCATGTCCTCTCACACACACAAATGCACATATGCACACTCAATTAAAAATGTGTAAACCAGCATAATTTCACATTACTCATGTTATATAGCTCTAAAATGGCAAATGTTAAATCTGGGAATAACGAGAATCTATTGCATATTGCTAAATACATAAAAGCTACTGGAGAGAGGAAGACACCTAATCGGAATTAGAAAACGGCATAAAATAGATTCTTCTCTTAAAACTTATCTCTGTTAACAAATCACTCAACATTAACTGCTCTCTGTTGATTCTGATCATATACATTTATTTAGCACCCACTATGAATGCGGAGGAAACAGAAGAAATATAAAGTATAAATTTCCCACCTTTGAGAGCTTATGATTTGAGAAAATAAGACCCAAATATGTAAAAGCAAACAATGAATGACTATAAGGAAAAGCATAAACTGATCACTGCTTATTGGTAAGGGGAATCAAAAAGAGACAAAGTCATTAAGGGCCTAAAATCACTGGAGCAGCCATGCCTATAAAATGAATGGCACAGAATAAAGTCAGGGTACAAAACTTAGAGTATGGGAAATAGGATAACAGTCAGAGAAAGAGAGAAAAGCTTAGAAGTAAAGATACATAATTATATAATTAGGGGTGATGACAGAGTAAGTTGGGCCTGGAATAACAGACAAAGAGCTTAGATATAATCCAAGAGGGAATGCAGAAACATTCTAAATTATTATTCAGGTTGATACTGTGCTACTACTAATGAGGCCCTTGATCATCTGATTTTTTGTGTTATTATTTTTTAAAATTTACTTTATAGTTTGCTTCTTTCCCTAGTTAGCCAAGTAGAAGGTCATCTCAACTCAGGCAGTTACCTTCTAAAATTTCCTCAGTTTCCTTCATCTCTACCAATAGTACATTTTGCCACTGACTTTGTAGTCTTCCTACAGCCAGCTAGGAAATGATTTCTCATATCTCTACCATTTCTTTCTTAATACAAACAGCAACTCTGTGGAAGGGCCTAGCCAAGGTAGCACATAATAACAATCAGAATTTTAAAATTCTTTGTGCAGAAACCAATCGAGATATGGGGCTAGTATATAAAATAGTCCTAAAAGCGTTGATCTGTACTGTGCTTTCTTGTTGCTTAACACATTTTGGAAAGCAATTTGTCCTAACCAGACTTTTTTGGGGAAAGCTAAGCAGTTTCTCTTGGTGAGCTGCTGGATTTGAGATTTCAGATCAAACACAAGGTAATTTGTAGAATCCCATAATCATGGCACACTTGCAAATAAAAAGATGTGAAATACTTCAGAATGCAATGTGTAATATAATATGGTAATGTCTCTCTTTTGACATTTCACTGTCAGGAATCTCATTAGCAAGAATAATAAAGTGAAACAAGTGAGAGAAATTTCTGTTAAAAAAAAAAAAAAAGCATGGCAGGCTGGCCTATTAAGTGAAAGAGCAATTTCTTGAGAGCTATGTGTGAGATCAGCCACAATTCATTTAAACTATACTCAAACTGTAAGCCCTCGATTTTAAGAAAAGGTAAAGAGAAAATACCACCACCAGGTATGAAGCGAATCTCACATGGTGTCCCCTGCAGTCCTGCTCAGCAAGCCCTTGCCTACTTTACCTCTCCACAGCAAATGGAACATGACACACCCTCTCTCCAAGCCAAGAGTTTCATTGCATACAATGGATTCTCCAAAAATAAGTCAATTCTCATGAAAAGCCAACACTGGCCCTCTAATCAGCTCCTCGATAGGCCTGTTTCTCCCATCTCACAGCACAGCCAGGCGCCGCCTTTCTTCCTCCTCTAAGAGCAGCGGCCTGTGGTCTCCCAATCTGCGAGGCCTTCACAAAAATACCTCTCAGGAAAAGTTGTCTGACTGCAACAGCTCCGTAAGGCTGTAGCCCAGGCAGTCCCTTCCACTTGGTACCCAGCTAAGCAGCTGCAGAATGATAGGCAATCCAGTTCTCCCTACAGCCTAGCTTGAGCCTAACCTATGCTCAAATAGTGTGTCTAAAAATAGAGACATACCCTTCTCCTCTTCAGCTACTGCCCAGCTAGTGTTGAGGAAGCTGCAACTTTCCCCAGCCTTTCTGCATATAGGACATAAACCTCTACCTGATTGTTCCTACCTCCATTATTCACACATAATTCAACCTCCAGGCCCACCAAATTTATTCCCAGAAGATCACTGTGAATTAAAACCTGAAAGGCAGGGACAGAATAAGATTTTTTTAAAAAACATCACACATCAATATAGTAATCCTTTACTTGCTAACTTTGACGCCAGCATCTCTGAAAGATCCCCATCGAAGGCCGGTCATTGCAAATACAGGCTGTTCCTTTTCACCCTGGAAGTTAAATACATTTCATTTAAATTCATGACTATAATCACTCAGAACTCTTTACATCTAAGTACTCAGCAAATGTTCATGGCCTACTTTTCATCAAACCAAAATTCTAAAAAGTCTGCTCAAACATTAAAGACATTAACCCTGTGAGTGCTTAGTAAAAATACTTGAATAAGCCACACTGTAATATGAAGGTAATTTTTACACATCAGGTTTCATGAATCTGCTGGCAGGGGAACATACTGTCATACTTTGGACTGTAAATTTGAGAGTACCTAACTATGTTACCTCTCGAGCCAGTCAGTAGTCAGGTCAGCTAGAATTTCTTTTCTTTCATGTACTTGTCCAAGGCAAAGATAACTTAAGCCTGCATTTTCCTTATAGGATCAAGAGCTCTCAAGTCAGATCAGAATCCTGGTACTCTAGAATGTTTCACCTGAATATCTGAAACTACAGTCAAATACGTGTTACAAAAAGTCGAAATAAAAAGTG